>NC_000002.12:188095678-188398708 GCF_000001405.40 Homo sapiens | reverse complement strand
GATACATCATAGTATGAATAACTAGTTTAGACTAAAAAAGGCCTACAGTTTATCACTTTGCAACACAGAGAACAACATATTGATGAAAAACCACTTTTCTAGGTTTCATCATTTTATTCAAATAGTAATTAATTTATAAAGGGATTATTAATTATAATTACATACTACATAAATATACATAACTCTTTCTCTTTAAACCTCTTCATTAAATAAAAAACAATGTTAACATTTATAGGTGAAGATTAATTTGAATATCATTATTAACACAGATGTATTACATATATAGATGTACTAAACAGACACTCTAAAAAGTCAGTGAAAGTAAAATCACTTTCTTCAATTTCTTCAATAACTTTATTTTGTGTTTTTGGTGTCTGCCATGACAAATTACCACTGTTACCAGTGGATGGCTTAAAAGAACAGAAATTTATTCTCTCATAGTTCGGGAAGCCAGAACTCTGAAATCAAGGTGTTGGAAACGTAGCACTTTCTCCCCGGGCTGTAGTAGAAATTTTGTTCCTTGCTTCTTTTGGCTTCTGGTGACTCCTCCTTGGCTTGTGTCTGTATCACATCAGTCCCTGACTCTGTCTCTACATGGTCTTCTCCTCTGTGTGTATCTTTTAAATACACATGTCTTTGGACTTACAGTTCATCCAGTTAATCCTGGATGATGGCATCTAAAGATCCTAAATTATACCTGCATAGACTCTTTTTCCAAGTAATGCCACATTCACAAGTATTGGAGGTTAAGATTTGAACATATCTTTTTGGAAGCCAACATTCAACTCACTACAGATGGGATGACATTTCCTAGATTTGGTTATAAAAGAACGTAGCTTCCATCATGGGTGATCACTTTTTCTTCTTTGGATTGATTGTTCATGAGGAAGACAGCTTCCATATCATAAGGCAGCTCTGTGGAGGCTGAATCTGGAAGTGGCCTCTTCAGCCCCAGTTGGGCTGTGAATGACTGCAGTTGTAGCCGACAGCTTGACTGCAACATCATGAGAGATCTAGAGCCAGAGGTACCAGCTAAGCTGTGCCCACATTCCTGGTCCACAGGAACTGTGAGATAATTCATAAACACTGTATTAAGCTGGTAAGACTAAGTTAGTCAGTGACAATGAAGATAATTAAACAATGGGCATAGATTCAATTTTTCATATCAGCAACATTTATGAAGTATCTTCTATGAAAAAAATTGCAGTGAGTTTTATTTAGATTTAAATTTATATCTGTAATTATAAATAATGACCCAGTCCTCAAGAATCTTATCGTCTCAGGGTATAGTAGACAAGCCCACACTATGTGTTATATGATAAAGAAATGTACATGGTGTTAAGGTACACAGCACATAGAAGGATCTGGTCCAGATTCCAAAAGTTAGGAATGATATTTTAGAGAAGGTAGATTCTGAACTTGTAAAAAACGTACCTACTCATAGTTATGTATTAAGAAATTCATTTTTCTACAAGATGGCAGACTGGAGGCACTGTTATCATGCCTCACTCACTTGGAAAGACAAAAGAGTACGTAGATAATCACACCGTGAATTTTCTTACAAGAAGCAAGGTAGAAACTTAACAAGAAAACTGAAAGAAATCACAGATGCTTTGAAAGAGGTGGTAGGCTACAGCCTGCATCTTCTAAGCCAGGCAGAAAACCAAGTCCTACGAATGTGGGAGTGGGATAAACTGCCTTCAGGGTATACACTCCTACTGCAGAACCTGGCAATCCAGGCTACAGGGGAAGGCCTTACCCTAACCAGTGCTGAGACTAATTTAGGGAGCCGTGGGCAATATAAAAGTGGGAGCAGCAGCAGGAAGAGACGTGTGCATTCCCAGTCTCCAGCACGGATGGAGGGAAACCATTCCTCATCCTACTTCACAGGAAATTTCGTGGAAGCCTGCCAGCTAACTCAGGTGACTGTGGCAGGTTGAGAGAAGTTCCCAACTGAAATTTACAATATAATCTCGAGCGGGGACAAATTCCTTTGGCCAGAAATGGGAGGCAAGTGGGAAGTGTGCTGCAGCCATGAATACAGGAGCTGGACGTCCCAGCTTTGCCGGCAGACTGGGACGGCTGTGGCCTGAAAGCCATGGTTGCTGTCTCCACCAGGCAGGCTTATGGCCTCGGGCAGTTTTAAGTTCTGAATGCAAACTACCTGGAACTTAGCTTGCTGCTGCTAGTGGAACACTGCAGATGTGAGACCTGCTTTAGCCAGTGTGGGGAGCTGAGTGGAACATACTGCCACCTGTTACTCCCCGCTCCGCATATGGACTCTTCTGTACAGCTGAGGCAGCTGTGCTCCTCTCTGAAACATTACTCCAGTAGCCAAAGAACCGCCCCTGGGCCCTCACAGGAGCCCTTGTTTGTCCCACATGTGGGGAACCACAGCTCGGATCTTTCCCACCCAGCCCCCACCTGGCTTTGCCCCTCCGGCTGTTCTGGTAGCTTAACATGAAAGACAGAAATTTTGGCAGTTCTATGACCCCACCAATTGCCTAAGAAACCAGAGTACTTCCCCTGGGTAGCATAAAAAGAGCACAAATCCCACCACTTCTACAGCATCCAGCACTCTTCTGCAAGCGCCACCTCCTGGCTGGAGGCCAACTGACACAGTCCATTATAGCATCTGCAGGCAGAATAACACAGCACCAAGGATGGAAAAACTTGTGTCTGACCTCAGCTGTCACTGTTGCCTGCAACACCCTGGCTAATCATGAGGTCCTGAGTCTGTCCATGTGACCAGTTCATTACTACTACAACTGGCATTTGAGAAAGCCAACACACTAAGGCTATTTATAATCAATAAATCTCACAGAGGCTATGTTACCCCCCTGCTACCCCCACCAGAGCTGGCACTAGTACCTGCTTCTGGAAGACCTCAGAATAGGTCACAACACTGGATCCCTTGAAAATATCCCCACCACCAACCTAGAGTGTGGCAGCCCCATTGGGTGGCTAGACTCAGAGGAGCAGCAGCATTCACTATAGTCTTGTCTTTAGAGATACTACTTCTAGCAGAATGAGAAGTGCACTATATCAAGGGAACACCTCATGGGACAAAAAAATCTGGATGGCAGAACTTGAATCCCAGAACTTTCTGCTGATGGGAAGCTCCTTTCAGCAAAGGCACAAATGCACTGCCAGGCTCAGTGGGGAAAATCTGAAGCTCCATGCCAACAGTCAGGCAGCCCTGGTGCTCATGAAGGGTCTTGGAGAAGAGGACTTGTTTTGCCCCTTGTCCAGCACTGCAGACCCAGCTGGGGCTTCTTCCATGGGAGGTCAGTATGAGTACACCAAAGGACAGCCTTTCTGGAACAATTCAAGGGGATTATATCCCCACAGGTGGAGTGCACGCCAGGTTCGTGCTTGCACAAGTGTTAGAATTCCACTCTACTTGGAATATGCACATTTGTGCAGATGAAAACTTGTGCTGGTCTGATCTGAATAGCCAAAATACTGAGTCAGTAGTGTAACTAGGAGGTGGACTGCTTTCCTGCTGGCCTGACAGGGGAGTTCAGGTGCCTCCGACTGTTCCCCCTGATAAGACCTCAGTGTGTTGCACTGAGAGTTTCTCCACCTGCCTCTGTCAAGGCTGGGACCTCTGTCCACTACTGGATATTGCATTTATCCACCTGCTTTAGCCACACCCAGTTTCTACCCAGGGAAACCTTCTCTACCGGCCTGAAGCTGGAACTATTCAACACAGTAAATAAAATACTGTGGAAAAAATAAATACATAAAAATGTTCACAGCACAGGGGAATGAGATAAGCTTCAAGAGGCCTTTGCCATTCCAACCCCAGAGGAGAGAGTGAACTTCTTCACACATCAAGCACACTGCAACAACCAGCATTTGAGAAAGCCATCATACAAACACCCTCTATAACCAAGGAACTCATACAGAGACTTCACCCCTGGAAGCACCAAGAGCTGCATTAGGTTACCATAAAGTATAAACATTAAAGTCACATCCTTAATGGAGACAAAAGGAATTTTTTTTAAAAAGTCAAATCAAAAACAAATTAAAGAATAACAGAAGAAATAATCTGCCCAAATGAGAACAAACCAGAAAAATAATTCTGGCAATATGACAAAACAGGGTTCTATAATACCCCCAACTATAAAAATCACAGTAGCTCTCCAGAAATGGGTCCAAACCAAGATGAAATTTTTGAAATACCAAATAAAAAATTCAAAATGTTGATAATTAAGCTACTCAAGGAGATACAAGAGAAAGGTGAAAACTAACTTAATTTTTTTTTAAATTCAGGATATGAATGAAAATTTTTCTAAAGAGAAAGATATTTTAAAGAAAACCCAACCTGAAAGTCTGGAAATGAAAGACACATTTAGGGAAGTACAAAATGCAGAGGAAAGTTTTAATAATAGACTAAACCAACTAGAAGACAGAATTTCAGAGCTCAAAGACAAAGCTTTTGAATTAACCCAATCAGACAAAAATAAAGAAAAAATAAACAGAAGAAATGAATAATGTCTGTAAGAAATATGGGATTACATAAAATGATCAAACCTAAGAATAACTGGTGTTCCTAAGGGAGAAGAGAAAGCAAAAAGCTTGGAAAACTTATTTTGAGTGAATAATTGAAAAAAACTTTCCTGGCCTTGCCAGAGATTTAGATATCTAAATATAAGAAGATCAAAGAACTCCTGGGAGATTTATTGCAAAAAGGACATGACCAAGGCATACACATATCAGGCTATCTAAAGCCAATGTTTAAAAAAAGAATTCTAAGAGCAGTGAGACAAAAGCATCAGGTAACTTATAAAGGAAAGCCTGTCAAACTGACAGCAGACTTCTCAGCAAAAACCTTACCAGGCAGGAGGGACTGGTTCCTATCTATACCTCCTTAAACAGAATAACTGTCAGCCAATAATTTTGTATCCAGTAAAACTAAATTTCATAAATTATGAACCAGAGCTGCCCTACAAGAAATGCTAAAAGGGTTTCTAAATCTTAAAAGAGAAGGTGAATATGCATCAAAACAGAATCTCTTGAAAGCATAAAACTCAAGGTGCTTAAAAAACAATAACAAAGAAGAAAACAAAGTATCTAGGTAATGATCAACATAATAACTGGAACGGTACTTCACATCTCAATATTAACATTGAACATAAATGGCCTTAATGTTCCACTTAAAAGACACAAGCTGGTAGAATGAATAAAAAATCACAAACCAAATATCTGCTGTTTTCAAGAGACTCACCTAACACATAAAGACTCATATAAACTCAGGATAAAAGGATGGATAAAGACATTTTATGCAAATGGGAACCAAAATCAAGCAGGAGTAGTTATTCTTACATCAGATAAACATACTTTAAAGCAGAAAGAATAAAAAAAGAAGGTCATTACATAATAATAAAAAAATCAGTCTAGCAAAAAGATATTACAATCTTAAATTTATATGCATCTAACTCTAGAGATCCCAGATTTTAAAAATACTTACTACTAAACCTAAGAAATGAGATGGGTAGCAACATAGTAATCGCGGGGGGACTTCAACGTGGCACTGACAGCACTAGATAAATCATCAAGACAGAAAGACAAAAAAAAAATGGACTTAAGCTATACTCTAGAACAAACTGACCTAACAGATATTTACAGAACATTCTATCCAAAAAACACAGAATATAGTCTTCTCATCAGCTCATGAAACATTCTCCAAGATAAACCATATGGTAGGCCACAGAACAATTCTTAATAAATTTAAAATAATCACAATCATATCAACTTCTCAGATCACAGGAGAATAAAGCTAGAAATCACCTTTAAAAGGAACTCTCAAAATTATACAAATACATGGAAATTAAACAATCTGCTCCTGAATGATTTTTGAGTTAATAACAAGATCAAGATGGAAATTTCAAAAATCTTTGAAATGAAGCATAATAGCGACATAAGTTACAAAATCTCTGAAGCAAAAGCAATGCTAAAAGCAAAATTTATATTGCTAAATGCCTACATCAAAAATCTGAAAGATCACAAATTGACAACCTAATGTCACATCTCAAGGAAATAGAGAAACAAGAACAAACCAAACTCAAAACTAGCAGAAGATAAGGAATAATGAGGATCAGAGCAGAACTAAATGAAATTTAAGAAAACAATACAAATGATAAATGAAACAAAAAGCTGGTTCTCTGAAAAGATAAACAAACTAGATAGACCATTAGCTAGATTAACAAAGAAGAGAAACATTTCAAATAAGCTAAATTAAAAATGAAAATGGGACATTATAACCAACAACACTGAAATACAAAAGATCATTTGAGACTACTATGAACACCTCTATGCACACAAACTAGGAAGTCTAGAGAAAATGGACAAATTCCTGAAAACATACAACTCTTCTAGATTAAATCAAGAAGAAATAAAAACCCTGAACAAACCAATAAAAAGCAGTGAAATTGAATTCATAACAAACAAAAACTGCCAACAATAAAAGCCCAGGGCCAGGTGCATTCACAGCTGAGTTCTATCAGACATTCAAAAAACAATTGATACCAATCTTAGTGAAAAGATTGAGAAAGAGGTAATCCTCCCTAATTCATTATATGAAGCCAGTATCACCCTGATACCAAAGTGAGGAAAGGACATAATAAAACAAGAAAACAATAGACCAGTATCCCTGATGAACATAGATGCAAAAATCCTCAATAGAATATTAGCTAACCAAATGCAACAGCACATCAAAAAAATAATACAGCATGATCTAGTGGGTTTTCTCCCAGTGAAGCAGGAATGGTTTAACATACACAAGTCAATAATGCAACACACATCACCTAAAGAGAATTAAAAACAAAAACCATATGAACATCTCAATAGATACAGAAAAAGCATTCAGTAAAGTCCAGTTTTCCTTTATGGTAAAAACCCTCAAAAAACTAGGCATAGAAGGTACATACCTCAAAATAATAAAAGCCATATAACACAAACTCACAGCCAAATCATACTGAATGGGGAAGAGTTTAAAGCATTTCCCCTGAGAACCTCAATGAGAAAAGGATGCCCATTTTCAGCACTTCTATTCAATATAGTACTGGAAGTCCTAACCAGAGCAATAAGGCAAGATAAACAAATAATGGGCATCCAAATTGGAAAACAGGAAGTCAAACCATCACTATTCACTGATGATGTAATTGTATACATAGAAAACCATGAAGACTTCTCCAAAAGACTCCTAGATTTGATAAACAAATTCAGTAAAGTCTCAGGTTACAAAATCAGTTTACACAAATCAGTAGCACTGCTATATGCCAACAACAACCACATTGAGAATCAAATCAAGAACTCAGTCTCTTTTACAATAGCTGCAAAAATTAAAATAAAATACCTAGGAATATACTTAACCAAGGATGTGAAAGATCTCTACAAAGAGAACTAAAAAACACTGCTGAAAGAAATCATACATGACCCCAACAAATGGAAACACATTCCATGCTCATGGATTGGAAGAATAAATAATGTGAAAATGACCATACTGTCCAAGGCAATTTACAGATTCAATGCAATTCCATCAAAATAGCAACATCATTTTCACAGAATTAGAAAAAAAATCCTGAAATTCATATGAAATGAAAAAAAGTGCTCAAACAGCCAAAGCAATCCTAAGCAAAAGAACAAATCTAGAGGCATTACATTTTCAATTATATTATATGTTTACAGTTACCAAAACAGCATGGTACTGGCATAAAAGTAAACACATAGACCAATGGACCATAATAGAGAAGACAGAAATAGAGTCAAATACTTATAACCAACTGATCTTTGACAAAGCATATATAAACATAACTTGGGGAAAGGACACCCTACTTAATAAATGGTTCTGGGAAAACTGGATAGCTACATGTAGAAGAGTGAAACTGGATCCCTATCTCTCATCTTATTTTAAAAAAACAACTCAAGATGGGTCAAATCCTTAAATCTAAGACCTGAAACCATAAAAAACCTAGAAGATAACCCAGGAAAAACTCTTCTGAACTTCAGCCTAGGCAAAGAATTTATGACTAAGACCACAAAAGCAAATGCAACAAAAACAAATATAAATAAATGGGACCTAATTAAACTAAGAATCTTCCATACAGCAAAAGAAATAATCAACAGAATAAACAGACAACACATAGAATGGGAGAAAATATTTGCAAACTATGCATCCGACAATGGACAAATATCCAAAATCCACAAGGTACTTAAATAAATCAGCAAGAAAAAAACAAATAATCCCATCTAAAAGTGGACAAATGACATAAATAGATATTTCTCAAAAGCAGATAAACAAATACCCAACAAACATTTGAAAAAATGCTCAACATCACTAATCATCAGGACGATGCCAATTAAAACCACAATGAGATGCCCTGCAAGAATAGCTATTATTAAAAAGTCAAAAGACAATAATAGATTTGGCGTGGAAGTGGCAAAAACAGAGCACATACACTGCTGATGGGAATGTAAATCAGTACAATATCTATGGAATACAGCATGAACATTTCTTAAGGAACTAAAAGTAGATCTAACATTTGATCCAGCCATTCCACTACTGGGTATCTACCCAAAGTAGAAGAAGTCATAACAAAAAGACACCTGCATGCGTATGTTTTTTGCAGCACAATTCACAAAGGCAAAGATATGGAAGCAACTTAAGTGCCCATGGACCAATGAGTAAAGAAAACGTGCTATATGTACACCATGAAATGCTACTCAGCCATTTAAAAAAAAAAAAGGATGAAATAATGTCTTTTGCAGCAACTTGGATGGAGCTCAAGGCCATTATTCCAAGTGAAATAACTCAGGAATAAAAGAAACAAATCCCACATGTTCTCGCTTGGCTAAGCTATGGGTATGCAAAGGCATACAGAGTGGTATAAGAGACTTTGGAGACTCTGGATAGCTACATCCAGAATGGGGAGGGTGGGAACTGGGTGAGGAATAAAAAACTACATATTGGGTACAATGCACACTACTCAGGTGACAAGTGTGCAAAAATCTCAGACTTCACCACTGTACAATTTATCCATGTAACTAAAAACCGCTGATACCCCAAGACCTACTGAAATTTTTTTAAAGAATTAATTCCCTTTATTTTTTAACAATTTAATATATAAGGTACCTCTAGGAGGTAAGGACACTTTTCCTATCCATTACACTAAGACTCATAATACATTTATCTCAGCTTTTAGAGAAAGAACATATATCCATTTTTGTGACTGCTGGAAAGTGTAAGGCTAAATTATATACATTGTGGTAATGAATGAAATCAGGTCTTTTATTTATATTTTTGTTTTGTTTGGTGTAAATTACTCTATTATACTTTTATTTTTAAAGGATGGAAATAATTTTTAGTAATAAATAAATGAATCCTTAATTAATCCTCAATAATATTCCTCAATTCTCAATAAGGAATTGCAATGAAATTTTAAAATGTTATGAGTGCTCTAGCAAAGGTTTGAACACAGGAAAGTGAAGCAGGAGAGAAAATTCTTCAGTGTTCAAAGCCAAACAAATTTTACCAACAATAACAAAACCCGCTTTTACTCTGTTTTCCCCATTTCTGTGCCTGTCATCAACATGCCCCTCTTGCCTAAACAAAAGGCCTGTTTCTTTAATCCCCGCTTAACTGCTTCTACTACTACCAAGTCTCATCTACCACACTTTCTTTTTTATTTACATTTTTTTCGCCCTAGACAAAGCTTCTATTGTTTCTTCCTGAATTATTTAAAAATTTAGAAACATTGCCTCTTGGGCAACCTTGATCAGACTTAATGTTTTTGGGGAAACCTAGGCTACTGGTAACTCAGTATCTGCATGCCAACATAATTATTACTCACTAGTCTTTACTTAAACATGATTCTCTTGTGCTTTCATGGTGTATTCTATTCATTTGTTTGTCATACAGGTACATCTGCTACATTATAAACTCCTCAAGGGTAGAGATTATGTCTTCATCGTTTTATTTTCCTACAGTTCCTAGCTTAGTGCCTGGCGAGCGGCAAGGGTTCAGCAAATAGTGATCAAAATGTAAGGAAAAGCCTGCAAACTAATCTGCCTTCCTTTGAGCTGCTCTCTCTTCATTAGTCTAACACACATATCACTTTTAAATTAAACTTCTTTTTGTTTTTTGTTTTTTTTGATTTTTTGAGACAGAGTTTTGGTCTGTCACCCAGGCTGGAGGGCAGTGGTGTGATCACGTCTCACTGTGACCTTCACCTCCTGGACTCAAGTGATCCTCCCACTTCAGCCTCTCAAGGAGCTGGGACTACAAGTATACACCATCCTGTCTGGCTAAGTTTTTCTACTTTTTTTTTTTTTTTTTGGTAGAGATGGGCTCTCACTATGTTTTCCAGGATGGTCTTGAACTCCTGTCCTCAAGCGATCCACCTGCCTCAGTCTCCCAAAGTGCTGGAATTACAGGCATGAGCCAATGCAGTTGGCCTAGATTAAACTTCTTAAAGGGATAGACTGGATTAAGAAAATGTGGCTTTGTAGGGACATGGATGAAATTGGAAATCATCATTCTCAGTAAACTATCGCAAGGACAAAAAAACCAAACACCGCATGTTCTCACTCATAGATGGGAATTGAACAATGAGAACACAGGGACACAGGAAGGGGAACATCACACTCTGGGGACTGTTGTGGGGTGGGGGGAGGCGGGAGGGATAGCATTAGGAGATATACCTAATGCTAAATGACGAGTTAACGGGTGCAGCACACCAGCATGGCACATGTATACATATGTAACTAACCTGCACATTGTGCACATGTACCCTAAAACTTAAAGTATAATAATAACAAAAAAATTTAAAAAAAAAACTTCTTAAAGGATAGCATGGTTCATCTGGCTCCCCTGCAATTGTTCCTCTCCATATAATAATGAGACACAAATGCCTAGTTATAAGAATCCAAATCACAGAACACACTTCCAACTACTCTGCTATATCTAATCTCTCTTTCCAATTTCCTGAACATCCCATCCCTATGGTTTGCCAGCCCAGTACCTTTGCTCCAAGTTGACTCTCCATTTAAATGTTTGCCTGTCAGTGTTCCTCTCTACCTTAAAAAGCACAACTCAAGTGGTCTTTTGTTTGTGAAAGTGTTCCTCAATTCCCAAGCTGAAAGTGTTACCATTACAAACTGCCCTATTATTTTACTTCTTTCTTGTCACTTAATACAGCCTACTTAAACATAAGAAACCAAAACGTATTTCTTATCTTGCCATATTTTATTGAAAGTTAGAGGTGACAAGGAACTATTTATGTGCCTTCCCTTCTCTAATGTTTACCATCCTCACTGCCATTGCTAATCACAGTGCTTGATAAGTATAAGTTTTCAATAAATATTAATTAGATAAATGTATACTTGATATTATTTCTAAATGGTGTATTTTTAAACAATGTGGAAGATTATACATATATAATATACACTTTTCTTTATTTTTTTTTTTAGATGGAGTCTCACTCTTATTGCCCAGGCTGGAGTGCAGTGGTGCAACCTCGGCTCACTGCAAACTCTGCTTCCTGGGTTCAAGGGGATCTCCTGCCTCAGCCTCTCAAGTAACTGGGATTACAGGCACTTGCCACCACACCCAGATAATTTTTGTATTTTTAGTAGAGACGGGGTTTCATCATGTTGGCCAGGCTGGTCTTGACCTCCTGACCTCAGTTAATCCACCGACTTGGCCTCCCAAAGTGCAGGATTACAGGCATGAGCCACCACACTCGGCCATATAACATTCACTTTTCCTCTAGGCTTAGTTATGTAAGGGAATATATTGCTGAATAGATGTGAGAAAGAAATTGCTACTGCCTGCAACCAAAATTTAAAATTTTAATTTAATTTTCATTTTTTTCAACTTAAACTGGGTTTCATTAGGAAAATTATTTGAATGAGAAAACACTAATCAGTGATTCAATATTTTCAAAACTGGCTAATGAAAACTTTAACTTGTTACTACCTTCTACCGGTAAACTCAGCAATAACAATAAAAAGCCTTTAAAAGATCACAGTCATTGAGCCAGTGATACCAATTCTAGTAATGCTACTAATGCAAACCAAGTGATGTACATATCAATTTATCTATAAGAATATTGACTGAATAATAAATACAAAATAAAAATATTTTAAAACATATTATATATTAACAGATATAATAGAAAATACAAAACACTAATTCATATTCTCAAAGAACAGAAGAAAACAAATTTGTTACACAATAATAAAGAAAATCAACAAAGTATATATATAATTGATATGGTTTGGCTGTATCCCCACCCAAATTTCACCTTGAATTGTAATTCCCACAATTCCCACACATCATGGGAGAAACCTTGTGGAAGGTGATTGAACCATGGAGGTGGGTCTTTCCTACGCTGTTCTCATGATAGTGAGTGGGTTTAAAACCATCACAAGATCTGATGGTTTTAAAAATGGGAGTTTTCCTACACAAGCCCTCTTCTCTTGTCTGCTGCTGTGTGAGATGTGCCTTTCACCTTCTTCCATGGTTGTGAGGTCTCCCCAGCCACATGGAACTGTAAGTCCATTAAACTGCTTTCTTTTGTAGATTGCCCAGTCTTGGGTATGTCGTCATCAGCAGTGTGAAAACAGACTCATACAGTAAATTGGTACCAGGAGTTGGATGCTGCTGAAAAGATACCTAAAGATGTAGAAGCAACTTAGGAACTGGTTAACAGGCAGAGGCTGAAACAGTTTGGAGGGCTCAGAAGAACACAGGAGAATGTGGGAAAGTTTGGAACTCCCTAAAGACTTGTTGAATGGCTTTGACCAAAATGCTGATAATGATATGGACAATGACATCCAGGCTGAGGTGGTCTCAGACAGAGATGAGGAACTTGTTGGGAACTGGAGCCAAGGTGACTCTTGTTATGTTTTAGGAAAGAGACTGGCGGCATTTTGCTCCTGCCCTAGAGATTTGTGGAACTTTGAACTTGAGAGAGGTGATTTCGGGTATCTGGAGGAAGGAATGTCTAAGCAGCAAAGCATTCAAGATGTGACTTGGGTGCTGTTAAAGACATTCAGTTTTATAAGGGAAGCAGAGCATACAAGTTCAGAAAATTTGCAGTCTGACAATGCAATAGAAAAGAAAATCCCGTTTTCTGAGGAGAAATTCAAGCTAGCTGCATAAATTTGCATAAGTAACAAGGAGCCAAATGTTAATCATCAAGATAATGGGGAAAAATGTCTCCAGGGCATGCCAGAGGTCTTCATGGCAACCCCGGAGGTTTAGGAGGAAAAAATGATTTCCTGGCCCAGGGTCCCTCTGCTTTACGAAGTCTAGGGACTTGATGGGCCTGCATCCCAGCTGCTCCAGCCATGACTAAAAGTGGCCAAGGCATGGCTTGGCTGTTGCTTTAGAGGGTGCAAGCCCCAAGTCTTGGCAGCTTCCACATGGTATTGAGCCTGTGGATGCCCAGAAGTCAAGAATTGAGGTTTGGGAACCTCTGCCTAGATTTCAGAAGATGTATGGAAATGCCTGGATGTCCAGGCAGAAGTTTGCTGCAGGAGTAGGGTCCTCATGGAGAACCTCTCCTAGGGCAGTGTGGAAGGCAAATGTGGGGTCAGAGCCCCCACACAGAGTCCCTACTGGGGCACCACTTAGTGGAGCTGTGAGAAGAGGGCCACCATCCTCCAGACCCTAGAATGGTAGATCCACCAACAACTTGCACCCTGCACCTGGAAAAGACTCAGACACTCAATGTCAGCCCATGAAAGCAGCCAGGAGGGCAGCTATACCCTGCAAAGCCACAGAGGCGCAGCTGCCCAAGACCATGGGAACTCACCTCTTACATCAGCGTGATCTGGATGTGAGACATAGCATCAAAGGAGATCATTTTGGAGCTTTAAGATTTGACTGCCCCACTGGATTTTGGAACAGCGTGGGGCCTGTAGCCCCTTTGCATTGGCCAATTTCTCCCATTTGGAATGGCTGTATCTACCCAATTCCTGTACCCTATTTTATCTAGGAAGTAACTAACTTGCTTTTGATTTTACAAGCTCATAGGCAGAAAGGACCTGCCTTGTCTCTAATGAGACTCTGGATTGTGGACTTTTGAGTTGACGCTGAAATGAGTTAAGACTTTGGGGGATTGTTGGGAAGGCATGTTTGGTTTTGAAATGTGAGGACATGAGATTTGAGAGGGGCCAGGGATGGAATGATAAGGTTTGGCTGTGTCCCCAACCAAATCTTATCTTGATTTGTACCTCCCACAATTCCCACATGTTGTGGCAGGAACCTGGTGGGAGGTGATTGAATCATGGGGGCGAGTCTTTCCTGTGCTGTTCTCATGATAGTGAGTGGGTCTCACAAAATCTGATGGTTTTAAAAACAGGCGTTTCCCTGCACAAGCTCTCTTCTCTTGCCTGCTGCTGTGTGAGACGTGCCTTTCACCTTCCTCCATGATTATGAGACCTCCCCAGCCATGTAGAACTGTAAGTCCATTAAACGTCTTTCTCTTGTAAATTTCCCAGTCATGAGTATGTCTTTATCAGTTGCATGAAAATCAACTAAATATAATACTATCATTGTAACTTTGCTTAAAGGAAAAATCCAACAAAACAAAAATAAAATTATATAGAACAAAATGATGACAGAAGTTATTTTCAGAAAAAAGGCTCATCAGTGCTTTTAATTTTATTTTACTTTTATGAATTTTACTATTTTTTACAACAAAAGACTATATTTTTAAACATTCAACACATAATAAAAGCATTTTTATAATTTCAAGTCCTTTTTGGAAATAATGGAAAATGTATAAACAATCATTTATTCTTACCTGGGTATGCTCAAATATAGTTGAAAGAAAATGGACACTTGACTTTATATAGCTTCTATCATACAGTTGCCATCAGAATTCTTCTATCAGTTTCTCTCCTATGTATATCAGATGGAATCATAAATAACTAAAAAGAAAAATATAATTGGACTTAGAATTAATCAATAATTACATTTCTGTTTATTTTAATTTAGAAGTCCAGCATATCTTTTAAAATTCCAATTATGCTTCTTGCAAATGTTCAAGAAAGTTACCAAATAATAGGGAAATAATGATAAAATATGTAAATATTTGGAAAACATTATTACTGATACCTAGGTAATGGAAAATAGCAAGATTTGTAGATGATGTGTTAAATGTTTTAACTCACAGATATGTTACTATTAAAGCCTGGTGATAGTTCTTTAACAATATATGCCTTTCCCCCTTGAACAAGAAGTAGCCCCAACTATCTCTTTCACATATGATTTATTTGGACTAACCAAGCACATACCCTGTTCATGATGATTAAGAAGGTGAAACTGAATTTTAGAAGGCACTGATTTACTTTCATTTTCATTCTACTTTGACTCTTACGGCAAGGCATTTAGATAGCTTATCCTTCTATTCATAATCATGCTATAACTAGAAGAGATATGTTAATTGGTTAAGACTTTTCTATTTTTATTCCAACAAACAAAACAAAAATTCTTTCTGGGTAGACACAACAGCACAAATTATGTCTTCCTTTAATTATATTATTTCGAATGTACCGCTGACATAAGTTCAAATAGTACCAGAATTCACAGCATAGTATCTTTTGCCAAAACACTAAAAAGACCTGATCTTTTTGAGGGAGGGGGAAGAATGGAGAAACATATCTAAGTCTTGTGCCCTGCTTCCCGTCATAACTTTGATACAAACCCCTTGATACAGACATTGATGATGCCATATCTATATTTTTGACTTTCTTAGATAGATCTCAAATATTATTTTATCTCTTCCTCTGTGTTTCAATCTAAGCCATCTGAATACTTTGAAAGCCATCGTTTTCCAGCTTAGCCACAATATTCTTCAGAAGCCTATTGACCTATTTGTTCAATGTATTTGTTTTCTTCTGTCTCAGCCTCCCGAGTAGCTGGGAATACAACTGTGTGGCATCATGCCCGGCTAATTTTTGTATTTTTAGTAGAGAGGGGGTTTCGCCATGTTGGCCAGACTGGTCTCGAACCCCTGACCTCAGGTGATCTGCCCGCTTTGGCCTCCCAAAGTGCTGGGTGGATTACAGGTGTGAGCTACCGCGCCCAGCTTCTTTTTCATATTCTAACATGACTTTAGAGAGAAAGAAAGAATCTCAGTTTAGGTTGCCCCAGAGGCAAACACTGAGGTAATAATAACTTCAATGCGAGAAGTTTATTTGGGAGATGATCCCAGGAAATATTAGCAGGGATGAAAAGAAAGAAGTGAGACCCGGAGTGGAAGACCTCCTACCAACACAGAGATCATTATCAGGCCTGTAACACTACTGGCAACTGCAGCTTAATCTGGCTGGGGAAAATCAGACATCCACTGTGAAATACACCCCTCAGATATATCTCACTGTAAGAATGAGAGCTAGCATATTTATACACCAATCCTCATTAGTCATTAGCTGAGGGTTGCTCCCAGGGGCATTAATTCCCTGGAACTTTCAGCCTATTTGGTTGGCAAAGTGGTCTCTTGTGGCCAAAGAATCCCTTAGGTAGAGAAATGCAGGATAAGCATTAGAAATTTTGCCAGTCTGAACTACAGCACTAAAAGAGAGGTTATAGGCTGATCATCAACAGCATCTACTACAAAAAGCAACAATTTTAAATTTTGAATTAAAATATTAGCACAGTATATTTTAAGGCCATATATTTATATTTTATAATTTTAGTGAAAAATAATGTTTGCTTACTCAGTAACACTATTATTTATTAAATCGTATGTTATTTTCTTAGCATTCACTGGATCTTAGCATGTATGAATGACACAATTCATTTCACCTTGCTGTAAAATGTAAGGGTTGTATCATCACATACTTCCAGCTCTAAAAATAGATGTGTTTATCCTGGACAGGAAATTTCAAGCATGACACATAGTTAAAAGGTAAACTATAAAACCATGTCATAATTTCCACAGTCTTTTATCAGATCATGTTTTTCTTGTTTGTTGGTCTTAAATGAGAGGAGAGAAAAGGAAGAACAAAATTAGTTCTTTTTTAGGATGATATAGTTTTTCCATTTTTCTTTTGACAACTATTGATCTTATGAACAGAAATTAGAGAGAAATAATTCGAGATAAATAATTGTTATCAAAACTATTCAATACATTTCATTCCAAATTTTATAAAAGAAAATATTTTCCTTAAAATGGTCAATTCAATTTAATCAAGATAAATAATTGTTAATAAAACTCTTCAATTGATCTAATTCCAAAATTTAATAAAAGAAAATATTATCCTTGAAATGGTCAATTCAATTTAACATCCCCGTAGCCTTTATTTTTATCTTACGTTGACTGAAACCCAGTCATACTGCAGGAAATACTTTTCAAACTAGAATATTTTATGCAATGTGACAGAATAAAGAAGAGCACAAAAATACACATATCAAAAAATAAGAACTAACTTATGCCTACTTCTGCCTTTCTTCTTGCAGGAAATGACATATTTTCCAAATGGGATCTATTATTCTATGTCTGATATGATTAGATTTTTCATAGAAAGAGCACTTTGAATATTCTTGCAAAACTCAGACTGGCTTAGGGGCTGCTCTTTTGAACATATTTTTATTTTAAAATATAAAATCCTGATTTCCAATTCAAATGCTTCTTAAAATTTTAGTATGAACATAATATGCTCAATTTGATACTGTTTTGCCACCATTTATTATATATTTTCACACAATTTGAAGACGTATATGAAATTAAATGAAACCAACTATTTCTTTACTAAAACTTCCTTTATCCCCAACAGTACCATTTAAGAAAAACATTATTAATGCTGCAATATGACAAAATGCTTCAATTTGTTAATGTAACAGGTAAATCTTAAATATTCTATATGCAATAAACCAAGCAAAACAGAGAAGTCAGGCCAACTTGTATTTCTACTTGTCATCATATGAAATACAGACCACCATTATCATGATCTTAAAATATTTTCAAAATCATTATTCTCTTTTTTACCTAAGTCCAATAATTTAACAGTATTTAATCTAATTTGCAAAATGTTTTAGGAGTTTTCCTGGATATTTCTTTCTTATCCTCTATAAGCTCCTAAATTCAAAATATATAAAATAAGATCTTGGCCCTGATTTTCTTTTCTATTTTTTTCTTGTTTGTCCTGTGACTTTAAGTAAGTAAACGTTCAATCCCCACTGATTGCTCACACCTGAAATCTGGCATGATTAATCACTCTTTTTTCCCTTACCACCTACATGCAGTTAAATAAATTCAATTCTGCTTAATACAACAATCTCCAGTTTGTTTTCCCTCCCAGTTTACACTCCCCACCTATCCATCCCTAGCCAGTCGTAATTTCTCTAACAAGTAATTTGGCCACATCACCAATGCACAAAGTACACATGCCTTAGTATGCCTTTAAGACACCTTCTCAAATGTTTTCACCCCATGTTCCAAGCAAAAGGTACAAAGAAGGTGATATTAGGATGATTGTCCTAAGTAGCTTGGAGCAATCACTTCCTATGTATTCTAGTCATCTCACTAAGGAAATGACATGCAAATAGTCATACCTATACCCCTACACTCTAAGGAAAATAAAATTAGAAAAGTAATTTTCTTCATTAAACCAATATTCACTGGACAGCTATTGAATGCCCAATTGTTTAGTTACTAGTGAGAGGAAAATAAGTCTGTATACTCCTTTGCATGCATCAGTGTGATAAGGACTATGTTCAAGGCAAGGCTAGGTGCTGCAGAAAAGTCTTCCTCAAAGAGATAAGACTCATTAACCTTCAGTTCACAGAAGCTGTCCAGTGAGGATGGTGGGGAAAGCCACGGATGGCAAAGGAAACACCATAAGCAAGGGCACAGGAATAAGAACGAACACGCCATCTTCAAGGATAGGCTATTAGTTAGAATATTTTATTTTAAAATAGAATATTTATAGGAAACTCTTTTGTATAAAACTTTAGTAATAAGATGAGGCTACATCAGGAAGGCTCCTGACTGCCATGTTATAACATTTGTATTTTACCCTAAAGGTGATGGAAGTATGATTAAACAGGGAAGCAGTACAGTAAGATACGTGTTTTAGATATGTATTTAGGAAGATCATATTGCCAAGGCGGCTCTGAAGAGACATGAAAGGGAGGGGATGAGACAAGCAAATTACTTCTTGGAAATGTGTGTATATTTGTTAGATGCTAATGCAAAATAGACTCAAAGCATTCATATTTATAAGATGTAAAACTGAAAAGATCTTTATAATTTAATTTATATAGGAATAGAACCAGACAAAGATAGCTTTAATCCTGGGTTTTTCTATTCCAGGAAATCAGATAAGACCAAGAATTCATATCACCTTTTATTCTTCCAAATGCATTCTGAGTTCCATACCCTCAGCTTTCAGTATGGTAATGAAAAAAGCGATAGCGGATGAGACATGACAAACTCTTCAGAACACATAAGAATTTTAAATTTATCAATTTAAAATCAAATTCAATCCATGCTTTCCATTGCATGTGCTGTTAAACTTTCTGCAGTGCTTTGAAGCTCTCAAGGGCAGGAAATTTTTCTGATTAGAAAAAGTAGGAGAAAAATTATCAAGTCATTCACTCTTTTTGCTGAAATTAGTGGAAAACACAAGTCACTTTCCTTGAAACGTTTGGTTATTATATTTTTCAGTATATATAGTGTGAGTGTGTGTATGAACAAAACACTTAGAAAATTAGAAAATTATAAAGGAAAATAAAAATCATCTATATTAAGATAAACTAAAAGATAATATTTAGACACCTTCTACCCAGTCTTTTTCTAAAACTGAAATTGTACTATACATATGCAATAATTCAGCTATTTCACCCTCCAAACCTCATGTTGAAATGTGATCCCCAATGTTAAACGTGGGACTTAGTGAGAGGTATTTGGGTCATGGGGGCAGATCCCTCATGAATGGCTTGGTGCCATCCTGGTGGTAATGAGTGAGTTCTTGCTCTGTTAGTCCCTTGTAAGAGCTGTTTGTTAAAAAGAGCCTGGCACCTCCCTCCCCTCTCTCTTTTGCCTCTTCTCTTGCCATACCATCTCTGCTCATGCAGGCTCCACTTCAATTTCTGCCACGAGTTTAAACAGCCTAAAGTCCTCACCAGAAGCAGATGGTGGCACCATGTGTCGTATATAGCTTGCAGAACCATGAGCCAAATAAACGTCTTTTCTTTATAAATTACCTAGCCTCAGGTATTCCTTTATAGCAATACAAAGACAACGTACAATTTCATTTCCTACCTTTTGTCACCTACAGTGCAATCATATTCTTATATCATTAAATAAGTCTTCAAATAAATACTATTGGCGTAACATGCCACCTTATAATTTTTTTTGCCCATTGTAATGTTCCACATTTAAGATTTTTTCTTTTTTTTTTTTTTTTCTATATAGAGACACTGTGATGAGTAGAATTGAAGCAAAGTAGCGTAGTGACTAAAATGACTGTAGCTGGCCTGGAAAGTGTTATAAGCCTGATTCCAAAACTATGTTGCCTTGACAGGATATGCCTTAGTCTCCTCATCCATATAATCTAACACACTGTTGCTTTGAGAAATAAACGATTACAAAGTTTGTGAAACACTTAAAGTATTGAATGATATATTCTATGTATATATTTTATCTGTTATATAAATCACTGCTTAAACATCTGACTATTGAGACAAGGGAGAATGGAAATTACCGGATCAAAGTCTGTATATAATTACAATACTTTGTCTGGAAAATAGGGCAAATTACACTCCCAGAGAAGTGAAAAAGTATGCAAACCTCACCCCAATCTTCCTATACTGTTCATATATATCAGGGTTTTAAAAATTTATTTTAATTCAATAGGAAAATTGAATTACAATAGGAAAATTGGCGTATATATTGTTTTTGATTTGCATTTCTTTTACGTAGCATTAGCTTTTGCCCAGTTAGCTTTCTGCACAATTTTTTCTTATTGATAAATTTCCTATTCTCGATTTTTATTGTGCCATTTACATAACTAAGAACTAAGGGGAGAAGATAATTTCTAGCTCAATCCCTAATCGAAAGTTTGGGTATTCATTCTTATCTGAGCCAATGAAGTGATAAGCACATTGCTAACCAATTGGTAGGGGTGCAGAATCACTGACTGGCTTAAGACAATCAGGCAGTATTCCTGGAGATACAAATATGGCCAATTCTCCTAAGTCATACAGCTTCCACACGTGATGAAAGGTGAGTTCCACTGAGAAAAATCTTGTCTATTATAAACATAGTGGTAGGTAAATTTAGAAATAAATGCTAACTGCATATTAATGTGAACTTAGACATAAATGAGATAATCTATACACAGCACTAATCATATAGCCCGACACATAAAAACTCAGCAATATACAGTAATTATTATTTCCGTTGGTGTGTTTAAAAGTTCCATATCTTTCACACTGTAAATAAAACCATAGTACATATCTTTGTACATAAATATTTGTTGTGCTCATCTCAAATTCTTTCTTTTTTTTTTTTTGAGATGGAGTCTCGCTCTGTTGCCCAGGATGGAGTGCAGTGGTGCAATCTCGGCTCACCACAACCTCCGCCTCCCAGGTTCAAGCAATTCTCCTGCCTCAGCCTCCCAAGTAGCTGGGACTACAGGCATGTGCCACCACGCCCAGCTAATTTTTGTATTTTTAGTAGAGATGGGCTTTCACTATGTTGGGCAGGCTGGTCTCGAAATCCTGACCTCATGATCTGTCAGCCTCAACTTCCAAAAGTGCTGGGATTACAGGCATGAGCCACTGCGCCCGGCCCAAATTATTTATTTCTTGTGGCTTCATAAAAGTGAAATTCCTGTCAAAAAGTATTTGATCTTTTTAGTATTTTAATGCACATCATCAGGTTATTTTCTGGAAAGATATGTCAACATAGACTTCCACCAATAGCATATGACAATGCTGAATTTAAACCACACTTCCCAGCAATTATCTTTTTAATCTTTGACAATTTGGCAAATTTTATCCCTTTTTCTAAAATGTGTACTTCTTTAACTGCAAGTGAAGTATAAGTTTATATGTTTATTGAATGCTTATTTTATAACTTTTATTTTCCTTTTGGTGTGCTTTTTAATTTCATGGCATTTCAATGAGGTTTTCTGAGGTTTTCATAAAAACCTTATGGCTTATGGCCTTTGAACGTTTTATTCTTTTAACTTGGTTGCTCTTCTTACAGGTAACCAACTGTTCACTCAATTCCATCATTAGATTAGGAAAGGTTGCCTTACAGTTTATTTTCCCTTAATGTCATTATTATATATTTTGTCCATAAAATAACGTAATTTAAATTGCTAAATCTTACGTTAAGACCTTAGCTATGAATTGATACAAAGGCATTAAAGCAAGTAAGTCATTATCACAGGTGTTTTTAAAAGTGTATTTAATTAATGATTAAAATTGTATTTGTCTAGTGTGTTTTATAGATTTAATTACATTTAATTTTGGGGATTAATCATCTTTGCATTTAGTTTATCATTTAACACTAGGAATACAGTTAACCCTTAAACAACACAGGTTGGACTGCATGGGTCGGTCCACCTCCAGGTAGATTTTTTTTTTAATAAATACACTTGGCCCTCCATACCCACAGGGTTTGCATCTGAAATCAAACTCAAATGGAAAGTACTGGTATTCACAGAATGTAAAACGTGGATATGGAGGGCTGGCTTTTCATATATACGGGTTCCGCATGGCTACTGCAGCCTTACTTGAGTATGCACAGATTTTGGTATCTGCTGGTGGCCCTGGAATCAATCCCCTGAGGATACAGGGGAGTGAACATATCTGTAAAACCCTGCGAATATGGATTTCAGCACCAAGATCAATAGAAACAGAATTTTTTCCAAATATTCCCCATATTTTAAGCCCCTGCCTTCCTTCTTTCATTTAGAAGATGAAATTGTGATTCTCTATTCTTTACTATAGTATTTTAATACATTAGAAATATTCAGATGATTAAAGAAAATATTTATACAACATCTATTCTAAAAGCCACTATTAATTTTTAAGACTACCTGTTACTCCTAAAAGCTGTAAAACTATGTAAATACATTTCAGTATTAATGAAAAGAGAGCAAGTCTTCATTAAGAGTTCTTATTAAGCACTTTTGTAAACAGTCACACAATGGAAGCTGCTGGAATGAAGGAAATCAGGAAACTGTGGTTGATTTCCTAACGAAAAGTTGGGCCAGAAAGCATTCATTAACTTGGATTACATAAAAAGTCATTAGTTTAATTTTTCCAGTCCTGTGGAGTTTAATTTTGTTCATGTTAATATCCATAGAGTGTGCAATATATTTAAAGGCAAATTTCAGTGAGCTATTATTCAGTCTTCCAATTTCCCACAGTTGCAGGATGCAGCGGTCGGGAGCTTTACTAATACTTGTCTGTATTCTACATTAATTGTAGTATCACCATAATTGGATATAATTTCACTCAAATTATACATACACTGCTCGGTAAAATCTGGAATACCTTCTGTACCAATATAATCAAGCACAAAAACATATACAAATTTGTCTGCTGTTAGCCATATAATAATAATTGTTTCACAGATGAGGAAACAGTCTCAGAGATGCAGACATCACCAATATTTTATATGATGATTGGTTATGCCTGAAGGCCCTTCTTCAGCAATCGAACATTTTCAATATCAATGTTTTGTGATTGTTCTTTATGTTATTCTAATACCAAATGTTATTTTACCATTTAAACTGTTGCTCTTTTGCTCAGTAGCATTTTCACATAACAGTGTGCATTTCACCCTGCACCCTGCATTTAACTTGTTTATACATACACTATGCTTTCCTGTCACCACCCAACACCCTCCCCTCCACCAAAATATTCTGGTAATAGCACCCTGAATTTCCTTTGCAGACTTTTTTTTTTTTTCCTCTTTCCTGGTAGTTATGTTTGGCTAAGGGTGACCCTAGCTGTAGTTCCAGGACTGGTCAATGGCAGTACCATGATCCTAATAGTAATTATTCACTTATGAGTGGGAATGTGGAATAAGTTAAAATAAAGAAAATACAATCAGCACCCTTTTTAAAAAACTACAAAGAAACAATCCCTTTCAACTTGAATTAACGAACTGGAGGACTGAAAACCTGGTGGCTATTTTGACCTCATGTTTCTTGCCTTAAAATATAATTCAGTGGATAACAAAGCTATGAGAGAGAAATAAATATCTAACTGCCTGGATTCAGTCAGGCCTGAAGGACCACTCTAGAACTTTCTACTATAGTAACCAATGCATATTCTTTGGCTTAACTGAGTTTTAATTGGTTGTCTGCCAAGTACAACAAAATAATTACTCTTGAATGTATGTATTATTTACTAATGTATACTATGCATTTTACTGAATTTTTCTATGGCTTCTCCCAAATTGAGCTAATATTAGCAAATAATAATGAACCAAAATGATTGATTCTTTGAAGGAAATAAAAGTTTTCTATAAAATGATACAGATACTCTTTTGGTGTTTTAAAGACATTTGTTATTGTTAGAAGCAAAAAAGGGACATGGAATTTCAGATGAGCCTTCAGTAGATTTTAAGAATTATATATACTTCAAGTATGTTTATATACTTTAAAATTTTTATGTTTGCTTAAGAAATGATGTCACATAGTTTTTCATCAAATTTAGGTTGTGATATTCTATTAATTACATCTTCACTTCTTTTGAAGATAGTAGAGGAGACCAATTTTTAAAACTGTAAATAAACAGATTTAGAAGAGATATGAACAATTTCATAAATGTGATATGTTACAGGTGATATTGAGCACTTCCTAATTTAATAATTACACAAAGACCAAATGATCTCTCTTCATTCCAAATGAATTAATAACATATTTTACACCGCAAGCAAATGAAGAAATCACTGGAAGCTTAATAGTATTATTCCAATTCAATTCTACTCTAATAAGGTATTTTCTTATGTCTTTGAAGCTCTTCCCAAAGACAATAGCTAAGTAAATCATTTGTGTCTTAATAACTGGTCAAATAAGTTTCTAGAGTAATTATCTGCTTTGATACCTTTTCACTGCCTAAGGATTCGACATCTACTATGTGATATCTCAGTGGCCTGTCAAAAAAAATAAAAAAACTATAGACACTTGAACTATCAATGTTTATGGAACTGGAAAAGTAAATCCAACCTTATTTTATAAGAAACTTAAGATATATCAGATGCCTGGGTCTACAATTTCAGTATTGAAAACTGGATGCTGGTATACAGGACAGCATCACAAAATATCATAAAGAACCAAAATATAAAGAACCAAAAATGTATCTCTAAATATCAACTATTAAATAAATAAAAGTTTATCTTATTAAGCTCATTTTTCTTCATTGCTCCCTCAGAAAGTATTAGGCTACTTTTCTCTTAAATTAGTTCAACTGTATTATACTATTTAAATCTGATTAGTACTGAAGGTACTTGATTCCTCTCTAGAATGTTCTTCTCCATGTTTCCTCTGTTAGAGCTTAGTTCCCACTTCAAACAGAATTCAGTAAACTATGACTACTTAAGAAAGAGGCCATGCATTATAAATATATATATATATAATCATTCCCTTCCCCAGCTCCATAAAACACACTGTGATATAAATGAATATATAAAATGCTTATAATAAACAAGGATTATTTTCTATTTACCCAAGCTAAGGACATCTTTCTCTTCAGCCTATTCTTGGATAGAAGGATAAAACGCAGAAGGGAATTTTTTCTCTCCTAACAAAACTTTAAAAATATCTCTGACCTTTTTAGTTATCTAACATTTACTCTGTGATACCTGAAGATAGTTTCCTATCTGTGAGGAGAGAAGATTGCAATTATCTCATTTGAGCTCAGTCTTCCAAGACCCAATGATATGGCTTAGTGTAGATAGCAAGTATCTTCTTTGTTCACAGATCTCCAGAAGAATAAAAGGGGCAGAAATATCAACATAAAAAGGTCCAGTCTAATTTCATTTAACAATTAGATATGTCACATGGATGTTAGGTCAAAATAATCTACAGAGCACTTGCAAAATGATGTTAATAATACCTAACCTCCCTCTCTCCTGGAGTATTTTTAAAGGAGTTCATGTATGAAAACACTTTCAAAACTGTAAGTACAATACAAATATGAGGTCATATTACACATTCCAGGAGAAGTTATGACATGCTGAAAAGGCAAAATTTACAACCAAATTTCCTTTTTCCAACAAGTGATGTCAGAGTGCACTTGCATGTAAACTTTCGCAGACATTTCACCATAAGAAACAGGTTATGTAATACTAACGATATTTAATTTCCAAGCTGTATGTAGTTAAAAGAAGTAAATGACCAACTAGGAATCTTCCCAATGCTCTGAATCTATTAGTAAGTAGAAAGTACTAGTACTAGCCATAGGAGGTAACTCCTCTGGAGAACTAGATGCAGCTGGGCAAACCAGTCTTCATCAATTTGCCATTCATGAAAACACTTATATTCAAGTCAGCACAATACATTATCTCAGTGAAGACAACTTGATACAGTTAATGAAGATAATACTGCCAGAGGCACATCCTCTCTGTGTTTGCTGTAACCATTCACAGCAACGACAACAAGTGAAATTAAAGAAACAAAAGTCTTCCAATCTCATAGTTTGAGGCATTGGAAAAATCAATGATGTAGCTACCTCTTAAATGGATCTAACTTTCTCTGAAGCCTGACTGAAAGCTCGTTCAGTAGTATATAATAATCAGACTATGATATTGTAAAGATTCATCTTTATCTCTTCTCTTGCTGTAGTCACCCAACACACATTTACCAAACACCTGCTCAATGTTGTGCATTGTATTGTGGACTAGGAAAACAGATGAAGAAATTGAGTTTCTAATCTAATAGTAGAGTAGACAGACAAGTAAATAAATTATAATAACTTGTTATCATAATGTTATAATAGATGTCAGCCTATTAAATGCTTGCTTAACTTAATTATTAATTTCTAAATAGTAATCTATACTAATTAGGTAAGCTTCTGATCATGATGAATTTGTAAGTTTCTTTTAATTTAAATGCTTTCACTGATATAATGACATTTTATTTTCAAAACTACTCTGTCCCATACACAGTGTTGTGCTTTCCTTCTTTTACCAAAGAGAAAATCAACGTTGAAAGATGAGTTAGTAGCACCACAGCCAAGGTCAGGACTCAGAAATCTCGACTCTCTTATTTCCTTCTTACAAATGGAGGATAACACATCTAGTTTGCATGTTAAAATCCTTTGTACTATTTATCATTTGATTTCACCATTTTAGGGAACTGTAAGTTTTTATTGATAGTGCTGGAAAAGAAAAACTCTCATTCATTGTAGAATGTGTTTTTATTAGAAAACCATTCTAAGCTATTAATTGTTTATTGCCAAATGAAATAATGATGTTTATTGTTTTCTATTAATACCTGCCAAGAAACCCTGCTTCAGAAAAAAATCATAAACAGTATGAAATTTGAAAGAATATAACCATTTGTACAAATGATTAAAAACTGCAGCCTAATCAAGGAAACCATAGTATTCAAACTACTTACATCTTGCCAGCTGATTTGTAAATACAGCAACCACGGACTTACTGTATGTCTGAATTAGATAAAAATTACATCATTTTCTTTGTGCCTGGGAAATAGTAAATGCTCAATAGATGTTTAGGAAGAGTTTGGGTAAAGAATGAAAAGTGTTAAAGAGAGGAGAAAAATCTTATCAATAGGTCACCAATCTCCACCCTGCCAAAAATCAAACCAACAATCATCACACACACACACATACACACATGCTTAAAGGGAAGTAACACATACATTTGAAAGTATATTCTCTTAAAGACAATCCCCCCTCAAATTTAAAAAATGCTAACTGTGCTTTTGGCCAATGTTACATGTGTAATTTCTTGAGTGTTAGCTCAAGGACTTACTTTGCAGAGAAGCAATTTATTCAAGACAGAGACTACACTGTGAGATGCAATCTTTATTATGTTTTAAAACTGAAATAGCCTCAAATACTTACAGACGTCAACATTATCAAGTAAGTTTAATTCCCAGTATAAGTGGTTTATGTGTTTTTAAGTCTCATCTATGGATTGAAATAACCCATAAAGTAGTTAGTAAATGACAATTAATTTGTAAGGAAAATTGTGAACTAAATGAGGAGGGCATAAATAAAATATGCAATGAGATCCAAAGAAAGTCTCAAAAACTCAGTGAGGAATAGTTATGTCTCATTCATTGATTGTTTTGCTCAAAACAGAAATAAGGTAAACAAAAATATAAGGTCAACCAAGAGCAAGTTTCTGTGCTAGGTACCATAGATTGTCCAACCAGTGCACTTGTGACAAGGAATTTCTCACTATGCTCAAACTGGCCATCTGTGTGCTCTCAAAATGCCTGCCATGCCTATAAATCTCATCTGTGAATGTCATCCCCCATTCTCCTGCTGGAAGAATAACCCTACCTTAAGACAATCAACATAAGCCTTTCCCCCTCTGAAGATACGAGAGTAGGCACCTGAGCTAAGACTAGATCATCTAAGGCTTACGTGGGGATCTGGCACAAAACCTCCACCTAAGCAAAGCAACAGCAGCTTGGGCAACAAAGCAAGACCCTGTCTCTACAAAAAATACAAAACAAATTAACCAGGTGTGTTGGCACACACCTGTAGTCCCAGCTACTTGAGACGCTAAGAAGGAGGACTGCTTGAGTCTGGGGAGTCAAGACTGACGTGAGCCATGATGGCACCATCACACTCCAGCGTGGGTGACAGAGGGAGACTTCCGTCTCTTAAAAAAAATGCAACAGTAACAGTGAATTACCTGAACCAAGAATAGGCTCTAGACTCTGAGCGGGATGGGAAGAGAATTAGTCTGTTTGTAGCTGGAGCAGAAAACCAAAGACACAGAGGAATAAGATACTTTACAGATGTTATAAAGCAGTAGAGTTCATGAATAATAAGTATAAGTGATAAGAAACCGAGACAGAAAATGGTAGAGAAACATCTACAATAAAGAGAGTACTGGTGGCAGCAAGAAAAATATGACAGAGGGAGCTGTCATCCCAATGGCAGAGGATCAACTCTGTCACTAGGGGGCAGAGAGGGAATCTACTCAGAAGAGCCACACTAGTTACGTCCCAATTCTGAATCTCAGTCCATCTTCCCCGGGTTCTCTTAAAGACTGGACATGTTGGCTGGGGTTCCTGTCTTGTTCATCTCTAAACTTAGCCTTTCTGAGGTGAGTGAGTTTTTTTTTTTCTTGCAATCAAAAGAATCTATCATAATCTTTTCTGTCTGGTCTCCTTAACATCCATTCAAGGAACTTGTCTTAAAATGATGAATGAACAAAACTTTGATTGTATACAACACTGTAAAAATATTTTTTTTACAGCCAGGCATGGTGGCTCACACCTGTAATCCCACCACTTTGGGAGGCCGAGGCAGGCGGATCACCTGAGGTCAGGGGTTTGAGACTAGCATCACCAATATGGTGAAACCCCATCTCTACTAAAAATACAAAAATTAGCTGAGTGTGGTGGCATGCACCTGTAGTTCCAGCTACTCAGGAGGCTGAGAAAGGAGAATTGCTTGAATCTAGGAGGCAGGTTGCAGTGAGACAAGATCACACCACTGCACTCCAGCCTGGGCGACAGAGTGAGACTCTGTCTCAAATATATATATATATATATATATATATATATATATATATACACACATATATATATACATATATATATATTCTATCTATTAATACACTCTCAAAGAATTATACTAACCCAATGAAAAGAAAAAAAAGGCCACATAAATTTGTTATGTGTCTTAAGTCACTGAAAAAAGTGTAGTTTTCAAAAAAGGAAATATGTTTTTCATTTATACATAACTGTTCTATAGCTAATTCAAAGCAATAACAACAAATAAACCTATGCTGTGGTTATCTTTTCTTTCTTCACAAGAACAGTAGGGCAAACATAACTTAACTTTGGCTTCTGTATTTTCTTTGTTATACTGAAAACATTTTTTTAACTAAAGTCTATTTTATTTATCTATTTACTTATTTATTTATTTATTTTAGATGGAGTCTCGCTCTGTTACCCAGGCTGGAGTGCAGTGGTGTTATCTCGGTTCACTGCAACCTCTGCCTCCTGGGTTCAAACAATTCTCCTGTCTCAGCCTCCCAAGTAGCTGGGACTACAGGCGCATGCCACCACATACAGATAATTTTTCCATTTTTAGTAGAGATGAGGTTTCACCATATTGATCAGGCTGGTCTCGAACTCCCGACCTCAAGTGATCCACCCGCCTATGCCCCCAAAGTGCCAGGATTAAAGGCATGAGCCACCACACTCGGCCATAAAGTCTAAATTAAATGTATTCATAGGTTCCATCAATGTCGCAGAAAAAACACATTCTTTCTCAGTTTTATAGATCCCTCAACACCAAAAAATCCCCAGACCTTTTTTCTAGATTATTCTTACATATGCATTAGATTTTATTTACCTAAATCATAAGATATTAGGTATAGAATTTTTACCATACTTACAAAATCATACCCTGCAGCTGGGAGAAAGGCAAAAGAAGAAAAAGAGAAAGAGAAGATTGAAAGAAGAGGAAGGGATAGAAAGCAGAAAGGTTTCTGCTATAAAGGAGACACAAAAGAAAGAGATGAAAAGGGTGAAAAAAATGAGGTGGACTAATAGATATAAGTGTGCTCACAGAGCATCACCATGTCCTTATTTTCCAAGCTTCACAATCAGAACCCCCACCCACCCATCCTACAGTCAAAACACTTCAGGCAAGAGATCAACTGGGCTTTTTTATTCCTCATTTAATGATACTGATCACTCTTCTGACAGGTTGCAGGACAGTGATGATGGCTGGGTCCAGAGTCGCAGCCTCCTCCCTCTCAGAAGCTACCCATTCTGTTAAGAGGCCACAGACAACCACGTTCCTAATTGTGCATCCCTCCTTGGGCTTCAGTATGTAACCGTTTCTATCTTGATACCTGTTTCTGAGTTCCTAGAATCTTAATGTACTTTTGTCACACCCTCCCTCCAGAAACTGAAACTTGACAAATAAATCCCATTCACTGGCATGGCAGACCTAGACTTCAAAAAGAACACTGGTTAAAGCCCCAGGTGTCTACATATTAAATACCACCTGATTCTCCATTGCTGTGCCATGCCCACAAGCTAAAGCTCCCTATTGCTCCATCGGGGACTCCTGGAGCTAATCTGTTTCCTCCAAAGCACCTGGAGGTAGTCTTGGGAAACCTTGGACATCAAGCTGCTTCTATTTACTCACTAGAACGCAACTGTCTGCCCTGCAGCTGAGACAACATCCCCAGCACCTGGCCTGCTCCCCTAACCATCGTGACCAGTTCACACAGACACAGACAAATACTAAGATATGAGAAAAACTATAAACAGTGGGACATCATTCCAGTAACTGAAATGTATTCATTTAACCAATATTTATTGAATATCAGGGATAATGTCTCTATGGTAGTGAAACAACATGAACAAGACAGATTTTCTGCCCTCAAGGAATTTGTGCTCTATTTATCTGCACATATAAACAAAAATTTAACTACATATAAAGGTAAAAACATCCATTTGTTACTACAACAAATAAAAATATGTGCACTTCTATCTATTGTCTAATATAGAGGAAAGTATCTGAAATGTTATGTCAAAATACAAGTTAAGGAGCATATGCCACATTTTCTTGAGTGGAAGATGCAAGGATTTAACAAATTGGGGCCAGGCAAGGTGGCTCACGCCTGTAATCCCAGCACTTCGGGAGGCCGAGTCGGGAGGATCATGAGGTCAGAAGATCCAGACCATCCTGGCTAACACGGTGAAACCCCATCTCTACTAAAAATACAAAAAATTAGCTGGGCATGGTGGCGGGCGCCTGTAGTCCCAGCTACTCAGGAGGCTGAGGCAGGAGAATGGCATGAACCTGGGAGGCGGAGCTTGCAAGTGAGCCGAGATCGCGCCACTGCACTCCAGCCTGGGCAACAGAGCGAGACTCCATCTCAAAAAAAAAAAAAAAAAAAAAAGAAAGTAACTGGAAGTCGCCCTACAAAGTAAAATACAAAAAGCCCATGTAATTGTAGATAGACAGACATGCAAATGAATCAAAAGGTGACGGAAGAAGAAAAGAGAGCTAGTTCAGATGCAATAGATGCTATACTGGGCAGTTAACACAGAAATATGTGCACTTAATAGTCAGATATGTGACATGGAGCTTATTTTTTTCTCTTGAATTGCACATAACATCATGAACTTCATAAACATCAATCTGTCTAGGGAAAATAATTCTGCCTTTCTGGTATTCTTAGTCCAGTGGCTTTGTCATGTAAACCGTTTCTTGGTTTTTGTTTTTATGGGGTGTTTGGGGGCTTTGCTTTGTTTTGTTTTTCAAATCTCAGTCACTATTCAGCATAAAATTTCTAATTTAGAGTTTCCTTTCCTCCTTTACAGGCCCTTCTTTTGCCCCATACCCCCTTCTCCTATGCTGTCTTTTCTTGGTTGGCCTGCTCTGGCTGCTGGAGGTGTCACAGAAAGTTGGATAACCTGAGGGATGCCCCTCAGTTGAGCAGAAAAGTTGGACAGGTGGTCTTGATCATTTCCTTCCCTGCTGGACATTGTTGTTCCCATCATCATTTTATCTGGCCCTGGCATTGGTATGACACTAACCTACTAATGTTCTGGCCACTTGTTCTCTCTAGGTCTGCCCAGATGGCATCCCTTTAGCTCTTTTCTGCAGCACATTCATGGCTTTCAAATGTGCATATACCATATCGCCCACTTCAAGGTTTCTGACATTAGAGATTCCAAGAGCAGTGTTGTTTCCCTTGTCTCACCCCTTCAGGCAATCTCTGTATGTTCCATAACATAGGAAGCAGATTCCTGCAGGGCCAACTAGAGTCCGCTTACTTCTCAGGCCTGGACTATCTTTACCGTGCCTTTCTTGACATCCTACCCTCTCTTAATTCATTCTTTCTAAAGTCCTCAGACAATGTTGCAGACATTCCTTCCCAGTAGACTTGCAACAAGATCCAAACCAATGTTCAATCAACAATTATCAGCTTCCTTCTAATAAATATTGGTAGCACTCAAGAATTTTATGCTTCCTCATAACCAACCTGACAACCAGGTATATTTCACAGCAAAACAAAGCACAAACAAAATTCTGCCTCATAAGCAAATATTAGCCAGTAGGCACAAAAACAGTCATACATACTGTTCCAGTAAGCTCTGTGAAGTCCCTAGTCTATCACTACAAAAGCCCCTTACATGAATGGTGATCTCCAAGATAAATAAAATTGCATCCCTTACAAGATTAACCTTCCCAGTCAATCCAGGAAAAGATCCTAGGACAGATCTTCCATTAAGATATGGCAGGGCAGGAGTATAGGACCATGTGTACTGCCATACCAGCACACAGCTGGCAAGGCAGAGATTTCCAAACCATATTTCTAGCCAGCTGCATATGATGAACACCACTTGTTTCATCAGGGAAACACTATTTCTAATACTTTTTGTGCTAATTAACCCACTGGTACAGATGTAAACAGCAATTTGAAATCTTGCCCCAGCTGCCTCCAGAACTTAGATCACTGATTAAAGTCCTTCAAGTATTATCCAACCACTCCAGTGGTGGATGTCAAAATGAAAATGAATTGACCCAAGTGTGTGTGTGTATATATATATATACACATATATATGTGTGTGTGTGTGTATTTGTGTATATACGTGTGTGTGTGTGTGTATATGTGTGTGTGTGTGTTTGTGGATACATATATACTTGGATCATATATGTATATATGTGTATTTATGTATATATGATATGTATATGTATATATATCATGTATATATGTATATATGTATATGTATCATATATATAGATATGTATATGATATATACATACACACACACACACACATACATATCCCATGATCTACACTGCAGCATATCAACAAAAATTATGGATGATATTCAGAATGAGATTCTCATCTCCCCTCTTTGATAAAAAACCGCAAACCATAGGTTACATGACTAGCATCTCCCTCCCAGAGAAAGAAAGAAGAGGAACAGAGAAAATGATAATGCTCCATAGCTGCTCTCCTTCAAGGTTACAGTCTGTCTTATAGCTCCCTCTTCATCCTTCCCTGGAGACAGAATGTTCCAAATTAGTTGGGCTTTATTACTACACAGATGCGAAGGCTGACAGCCTACTACCATGAGCGTGGTAGTATTCTGAACATGCTGTTTGGAATTAAAAATCTTCACTTTCCACTGTGAATTCTCTCCACAGACCTCCTTTCACCTATTAAGTAACCCAATAACCCTGAGGATCAACAAGTGGTTTCAGTGATCCTCCACATAACAGAAATGCAAACACCCACATGGAAAGCCAAACGGGATTTCCCAGGGATTTGCAGGCACTTATTTGCAAAAGGATTGCCTATTGCTTGAGCAAGATGATCAGATAGGAATCCACAAGGATTTATTTAATTATTTACCTACAGCAAATGATTCTCCTGAGAAGCACAGAGGGAGGTCAGCAAGTTCTAAATAAGCTAGATGCTAGACAAAGTAGCAATAACACACATTAAGTGCACTGAATGTAAACTGAAGATTTTAATTTACCTTTTAAAAAGCTGCAATGTTAGATCTGATAAGTTTAATAGAACATAATATATAAAATCTGATGTAACACAAGCGCATAAAGTATGATCAGCAGGGACTACTGCCACTGGTTAGCTCTTAAAGCTGCCACAAATTAGACACATAGAAATAAGCCCTTATTTTCATGAGTGCTAAAGCTGCTCCTCTCTCAAATTTCTTAACTTGCAAATGTCAGTTCTTCAAGTTATACAGTATTTCTTCCTTTCACTCAACTCTCTACATTGTCATCAAATCTTATGTACAATGGCAAAAACCACAATTACTATTGCTCCGACCTAATATTTTGCTTTCAAAAGAGTGTTAAAATGTATACCTTCGTCTTCATTCCATTAGTGTCAGAGATTAATAACCCTTTGCCTTGAAAATTGGACTAACACTTCATTCATTCCTACACTGTTTTCCCCAGTCCTTGCTCTGCTCTCTGGCATTGATAGCTTATAACTGCAAATCTTGATTCTGCCACCCACCTATCTACCATCCTTCAATGTTTCCTTGGAATTTTCAAGATAAATTTTACACTCCTCCATAATTAGGTCCCTGCAAACATCTAAACTAAACTCTAGTCAATTAATTCTTGATGCACAGCCATTGCTTTTGCTAGTTCCAATCCATTGGACTCTAAGGGCTACAAATTATTGCATAACATCTACAGATCCACACACCAAGTAACCATCTATAGACTAAAAACATTACACACAGAGATATACTGTAATTATTCAAAGGTGTAAAAATGAACCCTCAAAGTTACCAAAGGCAGTTAGATGTTATGACTTTAAATTCTTACAAATACACTTGAAAAATACAAGTGTTTTCTATAAGAAAAAGTAGGCAATGATGTTAATTTAAAAGATAATAAAGATTAAGTAGTCATTTTTCAAACTTTAATATTTCCATAACTCCTAGGAAATTAACTGTAGGAAGTCTTTCCAGTCACTTAGCTACTTCATCTACCTTTCTTTACGATTCATATTTTTTTCTTTTTTAAAAAATTAGAACCCACCTCCTATTAAGCGTCTTTTTCCCTTTCCATATTCTGTTCTCCTTCACTGGTTGGAAGTAAGATGTGCTAGATCTCCAAATGTTTCGGTTGTTACACATTTGGTGGGAAAAGCCACTGTGTGCATTGAAAGGATCAAACAATGTTTTACTCTCTTGGCCAGTATGATCCATCAGCCTTCTAAGTCAGATTACAAGTGAAAAAATGGAAAGGATCTACACCCATAATGTCCAGAAGCTTGTTAAAGAAACACAAACATCTAATATCTTGGCATATGGCTAAGAGGACTGTAGTTACTCCTTTGTGAAAAAACCTGGGGTTACTTGTAAATTTAAATTTAAGACTTTAGAAGAACAAGCAACAGACCTTTAACACGTTTACCTGTACGTCCTGCAGGCACTAATAAGGGAATAAATTTCACATCTGTTCAGTGTCAAAAAGAATCACAAGTCTTCCACTGTTTTGTTTTGTTTATAAACATGTGCAGGTGAGTAAGGCATCATCAATAATATCACGTGCAGAAATAAAAGTCAGTAATATATGTAGAAAAACATTTCCAAAAATGAGTTCTGAAAAACACTAGTTCTATGAAACATATGAGGTGTTTTACACACACACTCAAAATGGTTCCATAGGACTAAACATATTTAAACAATGTTATAATGGTATTCCTCATATTTTTAATACATTAATGTTTATTTTGAAGCTCCAAATAATTCCTTATTTTATCTCACAAGGAAACACTTTTACATGGAATATTTCCAGAGTTTTGTTTGTAATGTGCTCAGAAAAATGATGAGATAGACACAGTTTCACCATTAACAATTTTATTTTCAGAAAATGGGTCAACTGCTACAACTAAGCTCTTGACTGAAAGGCAGAAGTATATGACATGCAAGTAGTCATTAGCACATTAAATCAGGTTCATAAAGATGTCATGAAATAATTTTTACTTTTTAAAATTGAGGAACAATAAATCTCAGTATTTACAAAAAACATTTTGTCAATAAGCAGGAAATAGAATTAAATTTGGAAAAGCAGGCAATCATGATGGAAACAAGATTTTGTTCAAAATCTCTTTGAATTAAGAAAAAATGTATTGAATATAAATGACATACATTTATTAAAAGAAATGTGCTTCTTCCTCTCCATTAGAACAGGATAGTTGTCACCATATACATCATAGGCATGGTAAGCATTAAGCTGCTTTCTAAACCAGGTCATTAAAAGCTGAATAGATAAGTGTCAATTTTCCGCCAACAAAGTTTTCTTCTCATACAATTAATCTGCCAAACAGAATTACCTCAATTTGGTTTAGGTGTGAACACCTAACAAATCACAACAAACATCAAATGTGCAATTTCCAAGGGTGTCCTCCATATTTTTTCTGTAATGATGTTAAAGTCACAATGATCTTTTTATGCAAATAATATCACATCATTTCCACGCATAAAAATCATTTCATAGTTTCCGCCAACACTTACAGACCTATAGATCTTACATAAGCTGGCCCTTGTTTCTCTCTCTCTCTCTCTTCTCTCCTGCCTCCCCTGCCCCACCCATTCCATTCACAAAAATCTTCTATAAATCTTCTTGCTGTGCCTCAAACAAGCCAGAGTCATTCCTGCCTTAGGATTTCTTTTCCTAGACCTTGGCCTAGCACCTTTTCATGCTCAGAGACTCTAATTTAAATCACTAGAGATCAGAAGCAGGCATCAGCGTTTCTTGAAAATGACTAGATAAAAAGAAGCCTGGGACAGAACAGATGAATAAATGATTGACAAAAACAATGACAGCGACTCTCTATCAAATAATTTTACAAAGCAGAACGTATTTTACATGCTGCACGTAACATTTAGCATTTAATACGTCATGGTCAAGCTATCTTTGTCATCTGCGCAATATTACGCAATGCAGTGACATTTTAGAAAGGCAAAGAGCTTTAAATTGCTAATTTATTGGGGAAAATAATTAAGTTTTCAGGTTCACGCCACCATAAAAGAGAAACTATATTTCATGATTACGTTGAATAATACCCTTCAATTGTATGGTAACTAAACTATTTATTATATATTAAAATCAAGACTGTTATTTGGGCTATTTACTTTTCAATTCTTAAAATCAGATAATAAAATGAAATACAAACTTCACAATAAAATTTCTAAAAGGCAGTTTGTGTTTTATTGCTCTGTATTCACATAAGCATGTCATGCCTTGCTATCTTTCCAAAAACAGCAGCCAAATGGTTTCCATTTAATCTCCTTCTCCAGTGCTGTCTTGACTGACAAGAGCACTTTCAAGGACACAGGGATCAGACATTGTGCACACCATGACCAAACCAAAAACAAAAGCTTCACCACTTACTTAGTCAACATTGACAATTAAATCAATCTTCCTCTTAAGAAATCAGAATAAAGATTTCACAGGTGGAAGCAGCTCTTACTGCCAAAGGGCTTTCTATGATTTGATGCATCCAAGATTTGATGCCAGAAAAAGTGATTAAAAAAAAAAAACTTGAAATACTTCTAGTAGTTTTCAGCCATTGGAGGAAATTTAATTGCTTGAAATTTAGTGTTAGAAGAAAATATTGAGTTGCCTATGGTGCATAATAGAGATTTTTTGAAAGCTACAGTAGGTAGCTATAGACTTTTTGGGTTGTGATTGAAGATTTTTAGGCTTGAAAATTATTAGCAGTTCAGAAAGAAAGTAAAGCCTATTTTGTCCAGAATGCATTCGTTTTAGTCATGAGTGGCACTGTTTATAAGATCATAACCAGAGAATCTAAGAATGAAGTAGGTAGAATCATCAAAGTAAACCAGCAGGAAACTACAGGATGTCAACCAAAGAGAATTGGAGATCAAGAGGCAGCAGAGCATCTTGCCAATGGGAAAACAAAATTCTGCAGCATGGAGAAGTTCAACTGACATTACAAAAAATCAGCAAGGCTTGATAAATACAGAACAATCACAAAACAAACACTGAAAACCTCTACATTTAGCTAGTCCCCAGTCTCTTTCCTGGTTCATTTACTCACTGATTCTTTCCTCTCTGTGTAATAGCTCTAATATATCTTTTTGCACAATTCCTAAAGTTAACCAGTGCATAAGCAGCATCTCATCTTGAGTTCAGTTTTCTAAGTCCTACAATATTACTAATGTCACATGAAAAAGCAAAGTCTTTTCCTTCCAAAACCATGCTAAGGAAAAACGAGCAATCAGTTATTTGGGGCCTATCACCTCCCTTCTCCTCAGAAAAGCAATAACTAATAGTACATCAATATAATTTTTAATACAGTTCATCTTGCTCTTATATTTACAACTAACTATAAAGCCACCTTACATTCAAAACAATAAACTGAGGCAAATTTTCCCATGAGACTAACTTGATCACAATCTAATGAAATGCTTTCATTTTGTATGTTATAGGAGCATGAAGCATATGATAACAGGAAATACATTCAATACCATGCTAGCAGAGAAAAGCTTTCCAAAAGTTTGGCTTAGTTAGATAGATATTTGAGTTTGTTGGTAGTTATCTTAAGTCAGTTATTTTACTGTCATTTTAAGAACTGTAAAATACAATCACAGCCCCGTTTATTTAGCCCTTATAGCATATATCACTCTGGAGCCTAAATAATTATCAGTGACTACATCTTCTTTGCTCATCACTACATCTCCAAAAGTTGGTACAATGCATGGCATATAAGTATAACTCAATAAATATCTTTTGAAAGAATAAATTAATGTTAAAAAATAATGAAATGAGAACAGAATGGAGGCATATCAGCTTACAGATACTTTGAAACACGTATCTAAAGATGTTGTATGTTTACTATCCAAATCCAACTTAAAACACTAAATTTATCTGTGAAAAAAATAATTGATAAGACCTCCAATACTTCATTATAATTGCCTTATTATAATTATGTTAGCATTTTTTGAAAATCAAAAGAAATTTTTGGTTCTTTTCCCAAAATAAAAAGAATCTATAAACCAAAAGAATATAGTTGAGTCCATTTCAACTACATATTTAAGATGCTAGACTGATTACTTATTTTTTAATGTGTCAATTACTTAATATTTACTCATTAGAAATGGATGTCCAATGTTAATAACGTTAATTAAACTAATGACTATTACAACAGGTGTTTTCAAACTGAATTGTATGTGAAGCAAGCTTATTTTTATTTAATTTTCTTCATATAAAATACTGTGCAAGAATTAGGCAGTCTTAAATTTTATACTGTGTAAATCTTATTCCAACCTCACTAATTATGTCTCCTGAAAAATTAGTCCTTTATACTTATCAGAGTTTTTAATTGTTGCATAATAATTGTACATATTTATGGGGTGCAATGTGCTATTTCAATACATGATACATGTATACTATGTGTAATGATCAAATCAGGGTAATTAGCATATCCATCACCTCAAATGTTTACCAACTCTTAATGTTGGTAACGTTCAGTATCCTCTCTTCTACCTATTTGAAAATACACAATAAATTGTTGTTAGCTATATTCACCCTACAGTGCTAAAAAGCAACAGAACTTTTTCCTTCTATCTAACTGTTAATTTTGTATTCATGAACCAACCACTCCCTATCCTATCCCATCTACCCTTTCCAGTCCCTAGTAACCACTAATCTACTCTCTACTTCTATAAAAACAACTTTTTGAGCTTCCGAGTATAAGTGAAAACATGCAGTATTTATCTTTCTGGGCCTGGCTTATTTCACTGACAAGAATTGTTGTTGTTGTTGTTGTTGTTGTTGTTTGAGATGGAGTCTCGCTCTGTCACCCAGGCTGGAGTGCAGTGGAGCAATCTTGGCTCACTGAAACTTCTGCCTCCTGGGTTCAACCAATTCTTGTGTCTCAGCTTCCTGAGTACCTGGGACTACAGGCGTGTGCCACCACACCCCACTAATTTTTTATTTTTTTTAGTAGAGACAGGGTTTCGCCATGTTGGCCTGGCTGGTCTTGAACTCCTGGCCTCAAGTGATCCACCTGCTTCAGCCTCCCAAAGTGCTGGAATTACAGGTGTGAGCCACTGTCTCAGCCAGGATTTCATTATTTTTTAATGGCTGCATATTGTATTGTACACATATACCAAATTTTCTTTATCCACTCATCTGTTTATGTACACTAAGGTTGATTCCATATCTCGGCTATTGTTAATGGACATATCTTGATTAGCACTACAATAAACATGAGAGTGCAAATATCTCTTTAATATACTGATCTTCTTTCCTTTAGATATACCCAGTAGTGAGACTGCTGATCATACGGCAATTCTATTTTCAGTTTTTTTGAGGAACCTCTATACTGTTTCCTGTAATAGCTGTGCTAATTTATCCTCCCACCAAAAGATTATAAAAGTACTCATTCCTTCACATCCTCACTAGTATTTGTTATTTTTGTCTTTTTAATAATAGTAATTCTAACTGTGGTGAATTATCATCTCATCATAGTTTTGATATGCACTACCCTGATGACTAGCGATGTCAAGCGTTTTCTCATATACTTACTGATAATTTGTATGTCTTCTTTTGAGAAATGTCTAGTCAGATCATTTGCCCATTTTAAAAAGGGATTATTTGTTTGGAAGCTGTTGAGTTTATCATATATTCTAGATATTAAACCCTTATTGGATGAATAGTTTGCAAATATTTTCTCCATTCTGTAAGTTGTCTTTTAACTTTGTTGATGGTTTCCTTTGCTGTACATAAGCCTTTTACTTTGATATAATCCCATTTGTCTATTTTTGTTTCGGTTGCCTGTGCTTTTGAGGTCATATTCGTAAAATCTTTGCCCAGACCAATATCCTAAAGTGTTTCCCCTATGTTTCCTTCTAGTAGTTTTATACTTTCAGATTTTACATTTATCTTTAGTCAATTTTGAGTTGATCTTTGTACATGGTGAAACATAGGGGTCCAGTTTTATTTTTCTGCATGTGGATATCCTGTTTTCCCAGCATGATTTATTGAAGAGACTGTCACTTCTACAATAAATGTTCTTGGTGCCTCTGTTTAAAATCTGCTGGCTGTAAATATATGAATTTACTTATGGGTTCTCTATTCTATTCCATTAGTCTATGTGTCTGTTTTAATGCCAGTACCATGCTGTTTGGCTTACCAGCACTTCATAGTATATTTTGAAGTCATTAGTCCTTAGTAGTATATTTTGAAGTTTGACGCCTCTGGCTTTGTTCTTTTTGCTTAGGATTGTTTTAGCTTTTTGGGGTCTTTGGTAGTTTTGTAAGAATTTTAGAATTGTTTTTTCTATTTCTGTGATGAATGTCATTGGTATTTTGAAAATAACTGCATTCAATCTGCAGATCATTGTGAATAGCATGGTCATTTTAACAATATTAATTGTGTTAATCCATAAACATGGATATCTTTCCATTTGTGTGTGTGTGTCCTTCTCAATTTCTCTCATCAATGTTTTGTAGTTTTTCTTGTAGAAATATTTCACCTCCTTGGTTAAATTTATGCCTAGGTATTAATTTGTAGCTGTTGTAAATGGGATTGCTTTCCTAGATTTCTTCTTCAGCTAGTTCTTTGTTGGTGTATAGAAACACTACTGATTTTTTGAGTGCTGATTTCATATGCTGTAACTTTGCTGAATTTGTTGATCAATTCTAAGAATTTTTTGGTGGAGGCTTTAGATTTTTCTCCATATAAGAATACGTTATCAGCAAACAGAAACAATTTCATTTCCTTCTTTCCAATTTGGATGCCCTTTTTCTCTTTCTCTTGCCTAATTGCTTTAGCTAGGACTTTCAGTACCATGTTGAATAAAAGTGATGAAAACGGACATCTTTGTCTTCTTCCAGTACTTAGGGTAAAATAATTTAGCTTTTCTACATTCAGTATGGCATATATGATTGTGAGTTTGTCATACATGGCTTTTATTATGTTGAGGCATGTTCCTCCTATACATAATTTGTTGAGAGTTTTTATTATGAACAGATGTGTTGAATTTTATCAAATGCTTTTTCTGTGTCCATTGAGATAATCAAATGGTTTTTGTCTTTCATTCTGTTGATATGTATCATGGATATTGATTTGATTATATTGAACCATTCTTGCATTCCAGGTTAATTCCCACTTGATAATCATATACAATCTTTTTTATTTGCTGTTGAATTCAGTTCAAAATACTGGTTTGCTAGTATTTTATAAGCCATTTTTGCATCTATGTTCAATATCAGGGATATTGGCCTATAGTTTTCTTTTTTGTTGGATCTTTGTTAGGTTTTGATATCAGGATAATACTGGCCTCACGGAAACAGGAAGAATTTTCTCCTCTTCAATTTTTTTAATAGTTTGAGAAGAACTGGCATTATTTCTTCTTTACAAGTTTGGTAGAATTCAGCAGTAAAGCCATCTGGTCCTAGAATTTTCTTTGGTGGGAGACTTTTTATTATGATTTTAATCACATCATTATTGGTCTGCTGAAGTTTTCTATTTCTTTTTAATTCAGTCTTGATAGATTCTATATTCTCAGGGATTTACCCATTTCCTCTAGGTTTTCCAAGTTGTTTGCATACTGTTGTTCATAATAGTCTCTAATGATTCTTTGTATTTCTGTGATATCAGTTGTAATGTGTCCTTTTTCATTTCTGATTTTATTTATTTTGGTCTTTTCTCCTTTTTTTCCTTAGTCTAGCCAATGGTTTGTTGATTTTACTTATCTTTTAAGAAAATCCACTTTCCATTTCATTGATCTTTTTTATTTTTTAGTCTCAATCCTGTTAATTTCTGTTTATCTTTACTCCTTCTTTCTAATTTTGGGTTTGGTTTGTTCTTGCTTTTCTAGTTTCTTGAGTTGCATCATTAGGTTGTTTCTTTGAAATCTTTCTACTTTTTGGATGTAGAGCTTATTGCTATAAACATGCCTCTTAATACTCCTTTTACTATATCCCATAGGTTTTGGTATGTTGTGGTTCATTTTCATTTGTTTCCAGAAACATTTTAATGCCCTTCTTAATTTCCTCATTAATCTATTGGTCATTCAGTAGCATGTTGTCAAATTCCATGTATTTGTACAGTTTTGAAAGTTCTTGTTATTGATTTCTAAATTTACTGTGTTATGAAGAGAAAAGATACTTGATATCAGTTTGATGTTTTGAATTTAGTGGAACTTATTTTTTCATCTAACATATGATCTATCCAGGAGAATGTTTCATGTGCTGATTAAAAAAAATGTGTATTCTGCATATGTTAAATAAAATGGTCGGAAAATGTGTATTAGATCTTCCTATTTTCATTTTCCCCACAATGGGGAGACTTAGCCATGGAGATCCTTCTTTGTGTCAGGTCTGACATGACCTGCAAGTAGCCACACTAGTGCTGGGTTCCAGGGTGCAGTTATTCAGAGCAGCTGTGAAGCTGAGGTCCTAGGCTCAGGTCCTCATGAACCTACTGTGGCATATGGGTCCTGAGGTGCAGATCCACTCTCTGTGACAGTGTTGGATATAGATTGCCCACAGAAGCAGCACCCATGACTCTGAGGCACCCTCGCAGTTCAGACCAAGGGAATTTGGTTGTAGCTGAGACTCTGTTCTAGTCTACCCTGCTCCCCAGGTGCAAACCTTCAGAGCACTTCTGCCCTAGAAATGCTCTGAAAGTTTGGACCTAGGGAGTAGGGTAGGCATCAGTTTGGGAACCAGACCCAACAGGGCTCAGAGACAACTTAGATCCTGGGGGGATAAGGCACCATGCAGTGGTGACTCTGGACTCTGAGATGGTAAAAATTGGCAGTATCCCAGGCTCTATGAAGCCACGTGTAGTGGCAGCAATGACCCTAGAATGGTGTAGTGTAGCTATTGCTTGGGCCCTGGGGAGCAAAGAGCAACACAGCTATGACTCTACTCCCTGGGAAGGAGAATTTCCAGTATCTCATGCTCTAGGTGGCTAGTCCAGCTCCAGGGAAGCAGGGTACTAGAACTGCTTGTCCTGTAGGATAGGGTGTCTCAGTTCATCCACTGCACTGTTTCTTTGGGACTCAGGGTACCATGTCAGCTCTGCCCTGGGATGTACAGCTGCTCTGCTTGGCCAAGGCACCAGTTCCCTGGGAGGCATTATGTAACTAACTTCATTGGTCAGGCCCTCTGTAGGGGTAGGAGGGGTTTGGTATCTGCTCTGGGTGACCAAAGCACTGTTTCTCTGGGATACAGGGCACCTCTTCAGCTTGGGTACTAGGGTACATTACCACTCTAGGAGGCCAAGACACCATTTCCTGTCATGGGGAGGAGGGAAGCATACCTACTCTGGGCATTCAAGATACTGTTTTCCCAGGGGCCAGGATACTGCTTCAGCTCATGCACAGGCAGCGGTGACTGCTCTAGGCAGCCAAGGCATCATTTTTCTGGGATGTACGGTGCTACCTGAGCTCTGGCACAGTGACTACAATGGGTAGATGGAGTAGCTCTGCCAAAGCACTGTTTCCTCAGAGGCAATGTGTAGCTTCAGCTCAGGCCCCTATGGGCAGCACACAGCAATGATTTCTCAGGGAAAATGGAGTAGAGTGGCTCCACCAAGACATTCTTTTCAGAGAGCGGCCTTGCAAGTTAACTAACAACTCTGTGTCTCATTTTGTTCAGTCGTAAGGTTAAAATAAGATCATCATAACCTGTTGTGAGGATAAACGAGTTAGTACACATAAAGAATTTAGAACAGTGCCTGGCATGTAGTGAGCACTTGGTAAATGTCAGCTTTCATTTTTTATTTAGTATTTTCTACTACAGATTTGTTTTCCTTATCCCTACCAAGTCTTTTCCTAAAATAATTCATATAAAGAACCTCATAAAGCATTTGCCAGATGGTAAATACTCAAAGAATGTGTTACTTTGCCATTGTATACCTACTTATTTATTATCCCATGAATTTTCCAGGTTTATAGTTTATCATAAGTTTTTGCATACAAACTTAGCTCATGTTTCTGCCAAAACCTTACCGATCAACTTCAATAGGGAAAATGACTTTATTTAATGGTTTAAAGTAGAAATATATTATAAATATATAAATATGTTTAAGTGCTTCATCAATGTCATCTTGTTTTATGAATTAGCAAACTTCTTTACCTCTACTTTGCATCATTTTCTTGGAAGTTCAATGTATAATGAATCTAGAATTTTGGCATTTATATACTTAACATTTTCCTATTTCAGTTCCTCAATAGTGAGGCTGAAGACTGAAGATATGTATTCAAATTGAAATCTTACTGAAACATACACATAAGTTTAAATGTATTATAAGCTGTATGACTGTTATTTAGTCAGGGTTCTCCAAGAAACAGAACCGTGTGTGTGTGTGTGTGTGTGTGTGTGTGTGAGAGAGAGAGAGAGAGAAAGAGAGCAAGAACAAGTGAATGAGCAAAAGAGAAAAAGAGAGAGAGAAAAATTTTAAGGAATGGGCAAATGGGCTCATGCAATGACGGAAGCTAAGAAATGCCAAGATCTACAGTCAACAACCTGGCGTAGTTTCAGTCTGAGTACAAAGGCCTGAGAATCAGGAAAGCCAATGGAGTAAGTTCTAGTTGAAAATCCTATAGGCTCAAGATCCAAGAATAGCCAGTAAGACATCAGTCCAAGTCTGAAGGCCAGAAAAGACCAGTGTTCCAGCTCATGCAGCTAGGCAGAAGAAATTCCATCTCACTCAACCTTTTTGTTATATTCAAATCTCCAGTTGATTGAACGAGGCCCACCCACATTAGAGAGGGCAATCAGCTTTATTCAATTCAAATGTCTCATCCTCACACCCTCACAGAAACATCCAGAATAACATTTGACCAAATGTCTAGGCACACCGTGACCTAGTCAAGCTGACACATAAAATTAGCCATTACAGGTGACGATGCAATTTATCATTCAAATTGGTTCACATCTGAAAGTGAAAAGTGAGCTAACTTGACAGGGTTCCAGAACAACTAGTGCAAACTCAGATTTTCTCTGGCAAACAGGGATACATGCCAGACAAAAAAAAATGGGATAGTTAAGAGAAACTTAGCTAGTATAAGAAGCAAGCTGCCTTCTTTATTTAACAAAGCCATAATTTCTTCTCGTGGGGCTTGGAATGGAGTAAATATGAAGCAAATATTTACTGAATAAATGAAGAAATTTAATACGAGAAGTATGTACAGGAATTCTCACATTAAATGATTGAGGAAGAGCATGATATGACTACTAAGTTGTAATTGCTCCTGCAGTATGATTACATTTGGATGTTCAAATTGATGTAACATGGTCTCATAAAGCTAATGAATGTATAAGTTTCATATTATAGATTGGAATACATTCATGTAAATTTTTAATATAAATATAGCTCTTTTTTCCTACTTATCATGAACATCCTTGGCTATAACCTCTAGAATGCATGGATCAAGAGTTTACATTACTGTGCTATAAGGTGCACTTCAGTGAAAAATTTAACATTTTTCCTACTTAGGAACATGAGTTGGATCAATGGTAGGCGACTTGAAATTTGGGGGGACGTATTAAAGCCTACTACCCCTCATAGTTACTCCTGAAATGCAGCATGGTATAAACACAGGGTTTGAAGTCAGAAGCGTTATTTTAAGTCCTATTTCTGTCACTCATAGCTTTGGGACATTGAACAAGTCATAGGACCTCTCTTTCCCTTCCCTTAATTCTGTCATAATCCTCTTTCATCAAGTCTTATTTTTTGTCCCTCAAAAGTTCTCTCCTCATCTTTTTTCTATTTTCATTAAAATTAAACTTTCCACTTTATATCTGCCTAATAAAAAAAATACTTCTAATTAGTCTTCTTTTTTTAAGTCCTACTCAAACTATATTCCATCCTCTGAATTATTTTTCTAAGAGCTAATTGTCAAATTCCAACCATTTTTTAAAAGAATAAGGCCATTTTCTGCCTTTTCCATAGTCCTAATACTTACATTGGTCTGAAACATCATATTAGTTTCCCCAATATCCACCAAATTTGTATTCAGTACTATATTTTCCTTGGAGCTATTTCAAGCATGTTGAGACTTGGCTTCTCTATGAAATTAAGTTTATAAACAAAGCTCATTTTCTTTCTAAACTCTACAATGCCTAGCACATTCCTGGAAATAATGTTGCATTCAATAAATATTTGCTGACATCTACGTTACAAAATGAGAATGATTTGCTCTCCAGGTTCATCTACTGGTGTACAGAAAATGTGTATTGGAACAGATACCAAAATTAATATAATCATGTTTTTCAAAAATTTGTTACAATTAAACTTGTTATATTGTAAAATTTGAACCTACAAATTTAGTTAAGAAAAAAAAAGCCATCCACATTGAAAAGGAGGAACTATAACTATCTCTATTCACAGATGACAAGATCCCATATATAGAAATTCCAGTAAAAACAATAAAGAAACCTATGACAACTAATAAACGAGTTCAGTAAAATGTATATATAAAAATCAGTTATATTTCTACACACAGGCAGTTAACAATTTGAAAATAAAATTAAGGAAACCATTCCATTTATAATAACATGAAGAAGAAACTACATAAAATAAATGTAACAAAAAAGTGCGAAATGTGTTCACTGAAAACTAAAAACACATTGTTGAAAGAAATTAGAGAAGAACTGGCAAATATACCCTAGGCTTATACACTGTAGACTTAATATTGTTAAAATGGCAATATTTTCCAACTTAACCTACAGATCTAATGCAATCCTTATCAAAATTTCAGCTGCCTTTCTTGAAGAAATTGATAATCTGATCCCAAAATTCATATAGAAATACAAGGAACCCAGAATGGACAAAATAATACTAAAAAAAGTTGGAAGATATGCTTCCCAATTTTAAAATGTACTACAAAGCTAAAGTAATTAAGACAGTGTGGTCCTGGCATAAATCTAGGCCTATACATCAATGGAGTAGAATTGAAAATCCAGAAATAAACCCTTATATGTATAGCCAATTGATTTTTTGCAAAGGTGCCAAGACAAATCATTGGGGAAATAATAGTCTTTTAAACAAATGGTGCTGGCACAACTGGGGATCCAGATGTAAAATAATGAAGTTGGACCCCCTATGTCATATTATACACAAAATTTCACTGACAATAGTTTATAGAGCTTACTGAAACAGCTACAACTGTAAAACTCTTAGAAGAAGACATAGCCATAATTTTCATGATCTTGATTTAGGCAATAGTTTCCCACATATGAAATCAAACAGAAAAACAATAAAATAAAATATATACATCATCAAATATTTTCATCAAAATATAAAAGTTTTGTTTCACAGGACCACATCAAGAAAGTGAAGACAATCCACAGAATTGCAGAAAATATTTGCAAATCATACATCTGATAGAGAACAACTCAACAATAAAAAGACAACTCAATTAAAAACTGAGCAAAATATCTGAGTACACATTTCTCTAAAGAAGATATACAGATGATTAATAAGCACATGAAAAGATATCCAATATCATTAGCCATCAGAGAAATGCAAATCAAAGCCACAAAGAGATGCCACTACACACCCACTAGGATGGCTAAAATTACAACACATTAACAAGTATTGGCAAGCATGAAAAGAAATTGGAACCCTCATATATTGTTGATAGGATTGTAAAATACTGCAGCCACTTTGGGAAACAGTTTGACAGGCCCTCAAAATATTAAACATAGAGTTACCATATGACCCAGTAATTCCACTCCAAGGTTCATACCCAAGAGAAACTGTGTCCATAAAAAACTTGTATACAAATGTTCAGAGCAGCATATTTCAAAATAGACAAACTGTGGAAACAACCCAAATGCCTGTCAACCAATGAATGCATAAACAGAACATGATACATTAAAATGATGCATTTGTAGAGACATTGCTTGGATTGTGGAAGTTTAAAAAAATAACAAAACTTTGAATGCATTCCGGGTTAATCTGTGTTTTAAGATGAAATGTGAATGAGTTTTCTTTTTGAAATAGATTTTAATATTCAATTTTTTGATATGTCAGAAGGTTTCAATAATTTCCATCTACTATTGAGAAAAAGGTATTACTTTTCAATGTTTGCAAAATCGGTTCATACTTAGGCAACTATTGCTTTAGATCATTTACTGATAGAAGATAAAGTACGGTCATCCTTCGATATCGGAGGGGGACTGGTTCCAGGGCCCCCCTACAGATACCAAAATCCACAGATGCTCAAGTCCCTCAACAGTACTACAGTCAGGTAAGATGTTACCACTGGAGAAGCTGGGTGATGAGTGTATGGGACTTCTCTTGTATTTTTGAAACTCTTATGAAATGATAATTATTTCAAAATAAAACACTGTAACTCTTCATTTTCACCTTTCAGTATCGTGATATTCTGCTTGTTTGTTTCAGATATGCAACTAGAAAACAAATTCAAGACTATGCTTTTATCTAACACTTCCTCCTTATACCCATCTTCATGGGAGAGGAATTGGTGTTTTCATAAATATATGTTTAATCTACAGGAACACTGAGTAATATCAGCAACATACTACATTCAAATCATGAGGCAAGATTCATATGATACTCCAGCAATTACTGGATGGATGACATATTTCAGTGTTACCACTGTTAGTTGATAAAGGCAGTAAAAAGGCCAGTGCTTCAGTTAATAGTTACAGGTTTGACCAGATAACTTCCTGATATTCCGGGTCTGACACTGAATCTATTAAAAGCAGATTATTATTCAACAATGTGTTTAGAATTTTTCTTAAATATATTTTAAAATAGTATCAGAGAAATTGCCATGTAACATTAATATATCTCCTATTATATCAATTAAGTCTCATTATAATAAATATTTTGAATAACACGTTTTTCAATTGCTTTATAAATTCATGAGTTTCTCAAAAGTTTCACAATAAGTTACTTCCGCACTGAATTTTATTTCTTTGACATCTACTACATCTAGAATATTTTCATAGGAAAATAAACACAAGCTGGCTTCAGTTGATAATAAGTTCCATAATTCATTTCAGCAGATAATGACTGTTAATTCTTCAATTAAAACAAACAAAAATGCTTTGAGGCCAGGCATGGTGGCTCATGCCTGGAATCCCAGGGCTTTTAAAGTCCCAGGTGGGCAGACTGCTTGAGATCAGGAATTCTAGAATAGTCTGGGCAACATGGCAAAATGCCATCTCTACAAAAAATAGAAAAAGAAATTAGTTGGGCGTGGTGGCATGTGCCTGTAGTCCCAATTATTCAAGAGTATGAGGTGGGAGGATCACTTGAGCCTGGGAAGTTAAGGTTGCAGTGAGCCATGATCACACTACAGCACTCCAGCCTGGGTGACAGAGCAAGACCCTGTCTCAAAAAAAAAAAAAAAAATGCTTTGAGATAGTCACTGACTAGAAGCTGAAACTACACGTGTGCTAATTAAAAGCATGACTATATATTAAGCTGACTTAATATATAGTTAAGTCACTGACTTTTTTGGACTTTTTGAAGAACATTTAGATAACTATATTACATAATAAATGCATTGTTTCTGACAGTTTATTTTTATTAGAAGTTTTATTAGAAGACCCAGAGAAGAAGGAAAAACAGCAACAACAACTCATGTGTGGAAACCCTAAAAAGGCAGCAAAGCATTACGATTAGGAGCTCAGAGTGCTGTTGGGTCCATCTTCCCGGGTTTGTGCTATGGCTGTCACTTACCTGTCACATACACTTGAATAAGTTACTTAACTTCTTTTCAATTTTCTCAACCACAAAATCCAGTTAATAATAAATTCTACAGCATAGAGTAAATTTCTTAACACTATGCCTGGTGCAAAAGCCCTCAACCTGCAGCTATTGCTACTAATTTTTCTGAGTCCCAATTTCCTTATTTGTGATAAAATAATAGCAATACCTCCTCTGCCTATGGATCAGTGATGTTGTGAATCGAGAGCAATAATGCTTATTGCAGTGCTTTATCAGCTGTAAAGAACAATGCACTCTCTAAAAGCAAAACAATTTTTTTTTTTTTTTGAGACGGAGTCTTTCTCTGTCACCAGGCTGGAGTACAGTGGCACGATCTCGGCTCACTGCAAGCTCTGCCTCCCGGGTTCCAGCTATTCTCCTGTCTCAGCCTCCTGAGTAGTTGGGATTACAGGCGCCTGCCACCACGCCCAGCTAATTTTTGTATTTTTAGTTGAGACGGGGTTTCACCAAGTTGGCCAGGATGTTCTCAATCTCTTGACCTCATGATTCGCCCGCCTCAGCCTCCCAAAGTGCTGGGAAGTAAAACAATTTTTATACTATGATTTATCAAATACTCACCATGGATAAATACAAAAAATTAGCCGGGCGTGGTGGCCGGCGCCTGTAGTCCCAGTTACTCGGGAGGCTGAGGCAGGAGAATGGCGTGAACCCAGGAGGCGGAGCTTGTAGTGACCCGAGATCGCACCACTGCACTCCAGCCTGGGCAACAGAGCAAGACTCCGTCTCAAAAAGAAAAAGAAGAAAAGAAAGAAAAAAAAAGAGATTATTGTTGTAAAAAATCTAAAAACCTTTTCTTGTTTGTTTTCTTAAAGACTCTGTTATTAGCCTTCATTAAAAATTTGTTTACACTTAAGTCTAGAAGCCACTAAACAACTACTGTAATAAGCATTTGGAGGCATTACTTGACTCATCAGGGGATCTCATTAACCCGGAGATTTCTGCTATGCCTTGGAGAGTTCTTTTTGGGCTCAAGCCAACATCCTATTATAATACAACTGATCATTACATGGATTTAACCCTACCCTGGGTTAAGCCATATCATCTTAATAGAAGCCTGACAAAACACTGCTTAGGACTACAGCCTGTAAGGCAGGAATTACTTCTGGTTTTGGTGTCGAGGTTAAAAGGAATATCCACTCTGTGATTTATCCAGATAGGTCTATTAAATCATGACTCTCCATAAAAATAGGCCATATTAAACACTGCTAAAGAATATGCTCAAAGCAGGAATGATCCCTATTCACATTTTGTGTTATGGCATTAAACTATAAATTCCAAAGAGCATGAATAAGACCTTATAGTCCTCTTCCCATAACATCAGACAGAGTGACACATTCAGTATATGCAAGAAATATTAGGGGTTATTGTTTAATAAGTATTTGAATGAATGAATACGAACACTTTAAGGAAGAGGGAATAAGACCAAAATACATCATTTTCTCCTCTCTTCTAAACTTCTACCCCTCTTTATGGACTTCTTTATAAATGCACTTGCATCTTTTTAATCTTAAATGAAATCTTATCTTCATCCTGCCTCTTTCCATTCACAGCTAGCCTTCTTGAAAGAGTGGCCCACACACAATATTCACATTTCCTCATTTCATACATACTGGTGAAACCACAGCAACTTACTTTATATTCACCACCCAGCTAAAACTATTTTCAACAGGCAACAATAACCCTCAAACTCTCAATCCAATGATCATATTTAATCACTCCTTTACTTAACCTTTCAGCACTTGACCATGGTTATTATTTCTTTTTTAAAAAATTGTTCCCCTGTCTTCCTGGGTACATTCTATCCTGTTTCTTGTCCTCTGAGACAGCTGCCTCTCATAGTCTCCTGTGAAATGCAACAGGGTACCTAAGGTGTAGTGAAGCTTGTTAGAGGATTTGAGAAAATCAGTAAAGTAAAAATGATCTTGAGAACCATTTGAAGTGTTCTGTTGTGACAGCAGGAGCAACTGGCAGATAGTGCAAAACGCTTAGGAGAGTGGTGTGTTGCTAATGATTTAGGGAAACGGTCTTGCGTAACTGCATGGAGAGGAGGGGGTCCATCTGCTTCACAGCTAGCTCTACAAACTGGTCATGAAAACAAAAAAGAAGATAATTTTTCAAAACCACACTTAGTTAGCAAAAAGTGTACCTTTGTCAGAGCCTGAAGTACATACTCTGAGGTTTTAAAGAAGGCAGATATTTATAAGAATTGCCCAGAGTTCTGGCATAAAATTTACTACTCATGAAAATAAGATCCTAATTGTTTTAAAATAACAAAGCTATACTTTTTTTAAAAAAGTACATTGCAAGACATATCTATTTATTTTGAAAGATATAACTGTTCAAATAATTTGATCTTTAACTAAATGTGTGTATATGTACATATATGTGTGTATATGTTTCTGTGTGTACATAGGTATGTGCATGTGTGTATTTGCAATGAGTACAGTTTTAAAAAATCCAAGAGTGTCACATCTACAATCAGTCTCTGGCCTGTGCTCAAGTGAGATGAGAATGGTCACCAAGGAAAAGACCACCCAAGAATAGCCACACAACTGGATGACCCAGTGGTCACAGAAATGCTCTCTCATGTTCTGAAATCAATTCTGGAAATGTCTCTCCCGTCATCTCTCAGTCTATGATACAAATGCCAGGAATTAATAATTTCTCAAGCCCATAAAGCAAATACTCGCCTTCTTATCATAAATCTCTCTACTATCTTGTCCTTAAAAGTTTGCTGAAATCTAACCGGCTCTGCAAATCCTTTCCCCTCGAATTTTATGTGAGCTTTTTGCAACACTTTTAAAGCACAATTAGAATAGATGTTCTCAAAACAGAGTTCCACTTAACCAGCTCACCACTCACCAGACTGATTCTCTCCATCGAAGTGTCAACCACACCTACTGGTGCCCATAGCTATCTGCACACTCATAGGTACTAGACTTTGCCCAATTTATATTCAAGCAGTTGTCTTCAACTAATTCTTTCATATGCTTACTGTACTAAAAACAGTTGGCTGCCAAACAAGCATATATCCTCATTCCTTCTTTCTAATCAAATCACAATTTAGTCAGGTATTTACTCCCTACTGCCACGTTATATATGTGCAAAACAGCTATAAAAGGTTGAGAGGGCCAGGCGTGGTGGCTCATGCCTGTAATCCTAGCACTTTGGGAGGCTGAGGCGGGGGCTCACTTGAGGTCGGGAGTTCGAGGCCAGCCTGGCCAACATGGTGAAACCCAATCTCTACTAAAAACACAGAAATTAGCCGGCATGGTGGCACATGCCCACAGTCCCAGCTATTTGCTATTTGAGAGGCTGAGGCAGGAGAATTGCTTGAACCTGGGAGGTGAAGGTTGTAGTGAGCCGAGATCACGCCACTACACTCCCTCCCGTCTGGGTGACAGAACGAGACTCTGTCTCAAAAATAAAAAATAAAAATAAAAAGTTGAGAGGAAATTATTAAAACATAGAAGAAATTTGAACTTAGATCACAGTATAGGTGTCCCTAAGTTCTCCTACCCTTTGAGGAAATAATGAGATTATCTGTAATGGGTATTTGTCACATAAGAAAGTCTTTGTAGAACTGCAATCAGCAGAATCATGCTCAAAGAAAAGCCTTAATTTAGAAGAAAAGTTTCACAGGTAAATACATCTGTATAAGCTTTCAGTTAAAATAAAATAGTTTAAGTAGATATGCGTCTTTTTGTAATTCGCTTTAAGGATCTTTTACTATTACCTTATAAACTATATAGTCACGATGCTATCAGATAAGAGGACGTCTACTCTAACTGTACACTACAAGCTTTTATTGTTCAGTTAACATCGCCTCCCTAATGTGCCACTACACTGTCTAAAATCAAACATTTTAATTTTGTGTAAAAAAAAAGTATTGATTGCTTTAAGTATGTATAGATCACCTATCCTTCTTGGTTTTCTTATTTTTATATCTAAAAGCACTTTCAAAATTTGCTGTCCACATTTCTTCATGAATTATCCTCTCCAAGGCTATTAAGAATCAACAGGCTGTGGTCACCCTTCCATGCATTTTATTCTATGTTTTTTTTTTCCTATTCCACTCTGTAGAGGAACAGAACTTGCAAAATGCTGAGAATAACATCCAGATTTGTCTGATGTCAACTTTAGTGTGTCTTTGTCTTTTCTCTCTAAGGTGCTTCCAATTTTAGTCAATCACCAAATATTATTACATTTTCTTTGCCATGACAATCTTTTGAATTCATTATCTCTTCACTAAATTTAGTAGTAGCATTTTATATCATGAAGCAGTCTACGTAACTGTTTTAGGACTGAAATATGTGTTATATTTTTACCATTTAGAGTCCCTTAGAAGAAATTTCAAATATCAAATTTTCAAGTGATGAGGAACTAAAAGTACATCTGTAATAGTATATATCCTGGGAATAACAGAAAGATATAGAGCAGCACACATTTTTACTAGAGAAGTAGCAAAACGAAAATGAGATTTAAGTCTAAAATCTTTGGAGGATAGCTGTGGCATTAAGATAATGTACATACAATAACATTCTTCTATAAAACACACTTAAAACTAAGTAATCTGTGAATTGAGATGATATGAAACCCAAGTTTGTATTGTATTCTCTCATCTGTTTCTTTAATACAAATGCTCAAAATAGTATGGTTTAAAAATAGTGGTCCCCAAAAGATATGTCCAAGTCCTAACCCCCGGTATCTGTGAATGTGACCTTATCTGGAAATAGTCTCTTTGTAGATGTACTTCATAAGGTTAAAAAAATTCAGATAAAATCATCCTGGATTTAGGGTAGGCCCTAAATCCAGTGATGATCAGTGTCCTTATAAAAGGAGAGATCTGAGACACAAAGAGACATGGAGGAAAACCATGTGAAGGTATAGACAAAGATTAGAGTCATGCAGCCATGTGCCAAGGACTACCAGCCACCACCAAGGGCTAGGAGAGACTCGTGAAACAGATTTTCCCTCAGAGCCTCCAGAAGAAACCAACCCTGCCAAACCAACCCAACCACTGATTTTGAACTTCCGGCCTCCAGAACTGTGAGAGAATAAATGTCTGCTGCTTTCAGCCACCAAGTGTATGGTATTTGTTATAGCACTTCTAGCCATTACTAACCCAATATTTAATCACTTACATGTATTGATATATTTTTGTTTATGTTCTTTCTACTTCTAAAAATGGACTTTTAGGACTGTTATAATAAAATCTCAAATATATCTGCTCATATAGCACACTAAAGGAGTGTATAGAAAGAGGTAAGAAAACAAAAAAAGTTAAGTGCCTAGACTGAATTAATTGCTGTAAAGAGCCCAATATGGTATAATACAAACCACAAGTTGTAGAGTTAGACTAGCAATTTCTATTCTTAGTTCTATCACTTTTTTAGTTTTATGACTTTAGGCAAAGTATTAACCTCTCTGAGCCATAATTTCCTATCTCATCCATGTAATGAAAAAAAAGCAATCTTTAATTATGTACTTTTGAGAAAGAAATGTGATAATTTATATTAAAAACTGTACATTTCTTGGCACACAGTAAGCTCTGAATAAATGTTATCTGCTATTAGTTAGAATTAAGTTTTCATAATGTATTGTCTGAAAATCGATCCTTTATAGCAGATATAAATTCCCCTGAGACTCTCGGAGAAGCCAGTCTAGTCTTTTTTCTCCAGCAGGCAGCAAAACTGGTATTAAATAAGACAGTATCAAGGATGTCCCCCAACAAAGAAACAGTTATCCTTTATGATGATAACTGTCCCATCTCAATCTCATGTTGAATTATAATCCCCAATATTGGAGGTGGAGCCTTGTGGGAGGTGATTGGATGACAGGAGTGGATTTCTCATGAATGGTTTAGCATCATCCCCTTGGCACTGTGCTGTGACAGTGAGTTCTCATGAGATCTGGCTGTTTAGAAGTGTGCGGCACCTTCCCATCCTCTCTGTCTTTTGCTCCTGCTTTCACCATGCGATGTGCCTGCTCCTGCTTCACCTTCTACCATGAGTAAAAGCTCCCTGAGGTCTCCCCGGAAGCCAAGTAGATGCCAGTGATAGGAACAGGAGGCAAAGAAATTCTAGGCAGAAAAGGTCAGGGTCCCTGGTGAAGCCCCACCTCTCAAGCCCGGAACCACAGCCCAAAGTGAGAACATGCATTCCTGTTTTCCCATTCAAAAGCTGCCTTTTCCAAAACCACCCCTGACCTGTCCCATCCCCTATCCTGTACCCATAAAAACCCCAGGCTCCACTGGCAGAGAGCAGAGAAGAGGAGAAAAGAAGAAACAGCTGAATGTCGGAGAGAAGCAGATTGATTTCAGAGAGACGGCTTGATGGCGTGACTTCAGAGTTCAGTCCAGCCAGAAATGACTGTTCTTCACGGGAAGAATACTTTCCCGCTCCCTCCCCTTTCCAACTCCCCTTCCCACTGAGTGCCACCTCCATGGGCAATAAAGTCCTCTGCATTCACCACCCTTCAATTCGTTTGTGCGATCTGATTTTTCCCGGATGCCGAAAAAGAGCTCGGGTGTGACGGGTGCTGATGCTAAAGGCTGTCATACTTACCCTCTGCCCTCACTAGCAGAAAGCAATCACCTCACACAAAAAGACAGAGGGCCTACTGAGCTATTTAACACTTAAGTCATCCACGACAGCAAAGCTAAAAGAGCACATGGCAACACAAGCCCTCTGAGGCTTCAGGGGTCATGAGTACTCCCCAACAGATGCTGCCCTGCAGACCCACACAGAGTTTTGCTCCTGCTGGTGCCCAGAAGCACTTGCCCCAACTCCTGCACCCACTCATCTGCATCTCCCCCTCCCGCGAGGGGTAGAGAGCTATGGGCTGAGTAAGCAAGGCACCCCTGTTGCAAGGCCTGTGAAGGGGTCAAGAAAAATTTCCTGTCTCACCAGTACCATATTTCCTGCATAGTCTGCAGAACCATTAGCCAATTAAACCTGTTTTATTGATAAATTACCCAGTCTCAGGTATTTCTTTATAGCAATATGAAAATGACCTAACATCATCTATATTTAACTAAGTTCACTATTCCCTTCTCTAACACAGAAACTGAAGGGTTCCTTGCCCCAAGTTATGCTTACTTTCATTTCATCATTTCGTAAGTGACCACCTCCTAAAGGTAGTCCATCCCCTCTCTTAGATTCTATGATCCTACATTATTTTAATACAAAAAACAATTATACAAATCTCTCTCGTTCTTTTTAGGTTCATCCATATTGAGTGACACTTGCACAAAGTCCTTTTTAATTAATACTCAACAAGTGAACAGTACTTTAAAGTCCACATTGGAACACTAGAGCATTCATTTTCTGATAAAATCCTAATCCTATAAATGAGGCAGTGATTCCTATTTTACAAATAAGGATGCTGAAGCTCAAAGAAGCCCAGTGAATTGCCTAGGTCACAGGGTTACATTAAACTAACATATAATGTTTTCTTTTTAAGCTTTTATTATGTAGAAAATCAAATATATCAAAAGACAAAGCAGACAGGAAAACATAGTAAACCTTCATGTACCCATAACCTAGAATGATGGTTATTTTGAAACCTTAGTTTAACAGGTTTAATTGGCTAATGGTTCTACAGGCTATGCAGGAAATATGGTATTCTTTTGCAAATGCTGAGGATTTAACTTCAATTTCTCAAAACTTCCCCAATGAGACAACAAATGTGCATTTCCAACCTTAGTTTTTAAGTAATGTATAATTAAAAATGTATACCATGTCTTAAAACAAAAGGGGGAAACCAAGACAGCCAAAAAGATGTTCTAGGGTGAGAATTTTCCATCCAAAGCATCTCTAAAACCCATCTAATGACAAAGAGAATATCCCTAGGTGATAATGCTCAAGTGACTATAAACTTGAAACACCAAAAACATACTGACAAAGCATCATCTAAACAGAAAGTCTCTGATAATTCACAAGCAAAGCCAAGCCTAAATCTGCATAAGTCTAATGATAACATCTCACACAAAGACATTTCAAGTCAAATATCTGCTTTTAAACTGATATTCAAAGTGAGCTGCTTTTAAATGTGTATACTGGTATCATAGAAAACTGGCCTTTAAACAAGAAAAATAAGAGTACCTCATGTCTTCTATTTGTAAAAATTAAGCAATTTTCATCAAGGTAAACAATAAGCTAACTATTTCTAGGAGTCAATCACCATTTTTACCTACAGAGGCACTGGAAGATGGATTTTCTTTGCTAGTAGTCATCATAAAGAGCATTGTACCCAACATGTCAATAAAAAAGAAAAACTTAACTACAATTATAAGAATAACTTCTAGGAAATAAAACTGTCAGTAGTTGGTGAAGATTCAGAACTTCCACACAGAGTGGAAGGGTAGCCAAAGAGGTGAAAATGGAAAGTCATTTTAGAGAAGTAGCTACCTTTTTAACAATTCTTCTGAGATTAGCCTGGCACTAGTACTGGACAGATGGGAGTGGTGAAAATTATAAACACATTTTCACCTTACTCTTGTACAGCTACTAAGAAACACATAAATTTTAGAAGCCGTTTCTCAGATGCAATATAGCTGACTTCATAAAATGCTGATGACATATTTTATTGAAAGTATTATTACTAAACAGACATCAAAAATTTCTCCAAGTGTAGGCATGGTGGCTCACACTTGTAATCCCAGCACTTTGGAAGGGCCGAGGTGGGAGGGTTGCTTGAGCCTAGGAGTTCAAGACCAGCCCTGGCAACAGAGCAAGACCCCGTCACTACAAAAAACTTAGAAATTAGCTGGGTGTGGTGGGATGCACTTGTAGTTCCGGCTACTTGGGAGGCTGAAGTGGGAGGATCACTTGAGCCTGGGAGATGGAGACTGCAGTGAGCCCTGGGAGATGGAGACTGCAGTGAGCTCTGGTCTCACCACAGCACTCCAGCCTGGGAGACAGAGTGAGACTCTGACTCAAAAAAAAAAAAAAAAATTGTTTTCCCCAAAAACAAATATATTCTTAAGATTGTGGTTAATAATTAAATACTTCAGTTGTACCAATGAGGGGTGATCTCAGAGAGGAATTGTTCATCAATGATATATCAATGATATATTGAGGAGCCTAGTAAGATCTTAAATCTAGAGGGAAGGTAGTATCTTTGTACAAGAACCTGCTCTTTAAATTAAAGGAATTTAATTTATAATTAAAGGAATTACAAATACTAATTTTGAAAATACAAATACGGAAAACAGGACTTTGAAATAAGCAGAATTTACATCTCCAGTTCATTTTTGTCCAGAAATTAGCCCAAGAATTTAGAGTTGGAATTAATCTCATGGATCTAGTGCTTCTCGGACACAGACAGGAAATCTCCCTGTCCCTTCCTTTCAAGTTCAAGGCTTTGGCACAGAGTTCTTACTCACAAACAATGTAAATGGACCCTAGTTAATTTAAGTAAAAAAGAAATTTATGGAAGGATATTACAGACTTATAGAAATTCCAAGGTGGCCAGAGAACCAGGCTGTGCAGTCAGGAATAGACTGAAATAACAATATAAAGCTGGTTCTGTGAGCTCAGCACGACTACCATCACCAGGCACACTCACCAAAGTCTACTTTGCTAACCAAGATCTGGGTACAACACACTATTTTATAAGCTCTACCATGGCTTTCCCTGGTAACAAAGTGTAGCTTCCACTATCATCACCGGATTTATTGCATGGGCCTTGTTTTTTGTCACTAATTTCCAGTTCAAAGTGTTAGGTACCTATTTGTAGCTCACTGACAGAGCCTGGGTCATATGCCTGCATTCTAGATGCAAAAGAAGTTGGAGGGCCGGGCGCGGTGGCTCACATCTGTAATCCCAGCATTTTGGGAGGCCAAGGTGGGTGGATCACTTGAGGTCAGGATTTCGTGACCAGCCTGGTCAACATGATGAAACCCCCATCTCTACTAAAAATACAAAAACTAGCTGGGCGTGGTGGCGCATGCCTGTAATCCCAGCTACTCAGGAGGCTGAGAAAGAAGAATCACTTGAATCCGGGAGGCAGAGGTTGCAGTGAGCCAAGATCTTACCATTGCACTCCAGCCTGGATGACAGAACAAGACTTTGGAAAGAAAAAAATATATAGATAGATATAGATATAGATATAGATATAGATATAGATATAGATATAGATATAGATACAGATATATTTATAGGAGAAGCAAGTTTCTGGTTTCTATTCTGGGAAACTACTCACAAGGAAAGATTTTCTAAAACCATGAAAGGTATCACAGAGTTGGAAGGAATTATCAAAGGTGTCAAAGGTAACAAAGGCATCAAAGATATGAAAAAATTATCATGGATTGCCCTAGAGTATCTGCACACTGGTGTTTGAGAAACAGCCTGAAACCATTGACTATAAGTCCATGATCTAGACCTGCCAACTTCTCACCTTGTCTCCTGCCACTTTTCCCACCAGCTACACTAGTCTTTTAGTGGTCCTCCTATAAGCAAAACTTTTATAGCCTTAGAATTTCTAGCCTTGAGCCTCCTTCAGCCTTCAAATCTACATGCCCACATATATTCATGCTAACTATTGCTTTGTTCTCAGATACCAAATGTTATTTCTTCAGTGAAGACTTTCCAGACCACCTCATCCATGGATGTCTCCCACCACATTCCAGGACACTCCAGCCACATTCTTCCTTGTTTTTCCATTTATCTGCTTCATGATGTTAATCACTACATGATTTTATTTAATATGTTTATTTTCAGCCTGATATGCCATAATGAAAGCTCTGTGAGATTAGGGATCTTGTCTGTCCTTTTTGATGCTGTATCTTCAGCACCTAGAACAGTATCTGGCTCATAGCAGGCTTTCAAATATATGTTGCATAAGAATAAATTCATGATATAGTTCAATAGGCCCATTTCACAAACATGTAGACTGAGAAAGAGAGGCTCAGTGATTTGTATATAATCACACAGTAAATTAGTGATCAAAGGGCAAGTTCTTGATTCCCAACCACGCAATCTCCTGGAAGAGAAAAATATCAGAAGTTTCAGCTGCTTCTTAAAGAAAGGCAGCAGGGCAGAGCAGAAAGGACATTGACTAGGGAAAAAACATGCGTTTTATAATTATACATTTCTAAGTCCAAGTCTGTGCCCCCCAATCTAATATAACCTGCTTAGGATTTTTCAGAGAATTAAATATAATCATATATGTAAAGAGCACTTTATAACACAACATGCATAGGTATTTCATAATTGGAAGGTATACAATTATTATTAATTTATGAACAATGATATCCATATCTGAGTTTATATTCTCTTAATAATATGCTAAGGGAGACATATCTGTAACATAATCTAAATCAGAAAGCCCTCATGTATAAAATGAGAGTGTTCCCACTTTCACACAACCAAAATTCTGCTTTATGCCAGGCATGTGTTACATACAAGTTGAAGTCTCTAAGTTTCTTGCTAGCTCCTAATGCTAACTGCATTTCAATCTTTAATTGCCATCTCCAAAGATTATCTTGTTACTATAAACTAAGGGCAAAAATAGGCTTTTGTTGTCACTTGAAGGGATTATTTCAAAGCATTTTTTTGCGTCAAATCCTATGCAAAGTACTATAGACACGGAAGTCACTGAAAATAGCCCTTGCCTTCAAGGTACTTATTAGTTAATGACAGAAACAGAGAAAACGAAAATTTGCAGCAATGTGATGTATACAGGATGCTACGGGGACCCAAAAGAATGGTACCCAATCCACACTGCAAATAATTAGCAAGGGCTTTTTAGAAGCGATTCTGAGCAGAAACCTAGCTGTAGGGTGAAGATGAGGTAACCAGGATTAAAAGGGTTGGATATGCTCAGAAGTTCTTTGTAAATGCAAAGAAAACATCTGAAAGGGCCCAGTAGAGAATTTAAGCATGGCATATACAACAAACTGATGAATCAAGAGAGAAAAGGGTCACAACAGCCACAAGAAGAGAGAATTAATCAAAAAAGTCTCTTCCCCCCTGCCAAAAGTGTTAATGTTATAAATAATTAATTTACTCTGCTTTCCCCAGAAAAGAGAAATAAACTCTTCCATTAATTATTATATTACCTTTCTAGTCTGGCACTAATTCTCAATTTTCAGTTACAGTTTATGATATATCAAAAATATACACATGTGTATTAAACATTACATTTTAATCAAAGCAAAGGCTTATGTTCCTTTTTAAATTCCTTTTATATCAGCAACTTCTCTTTTAAAAATTGTTCCGTATATCTTTCTCTGTGCCTGAAGTGCCTTCAAGTCACCTTCCTTTGGCAATTTTCTCTAATTCCTCCAAGCAGCGTTTTTCATTTCCTCCTATACCATGACAGCACATTTTGCATTATTTCCATCACAACTTGTAGCAGATTCCTTTTAATAAGTTTCTCTCTTGCTAGACAGAGTTTCTGGAGGAAAGGTATTGACCTTTCTATCCCAAATATGATCTTTTATTCCCCTAATAAACAATTTTAATTTTATAATAGCTTTGGAATTACAGAAAAGTTGCAAAGGCAATACAAATAGTTGCCTAGAGATCTGTTTACAATTTGGATTTTGATATAGTCGGTCATGGACAGTCCTAATACTCTGGATTTCTACCTGATACAAATGCTGCTGAGCGAGGGACCATGATTTGATAAGGTATGAGTCTCAGACACATCAGGACTAGACTTGTCAATCCTAGCTGCAAATGGGAATCAACCTGAGAAGGCTTCCTTTGTTTTAAAACTCTTATACATGGACCACACCCCCAGAGATTTTAATCAAATTTATCTGCTATAGACCCAGAAGTCTGAATTTTAAAAAAGCTTTTCAGGTGGTTTCAATGTGTAGCCAGAGTTGAGAACCACTTGTCCTAAGTTGTCAGACATCCATATCCCAGTAGGCTCTCCATTTCCTCCTTTGTAAAACAGAAATAATTATAAGTATCTGATAAGGTGTTACCGGAACTAAGTGACATAGTGAAAGTAAGGCACTAAATGCAGTGCCTATTATATTCTAGAATGCTTACCAACGTTATTAATTGCAAATTAACTTTTTTCATAAATTCTGACAGGCAAAAGAGCATGTAATTCTACATTTCTCCTCAATAAACTTTTGGGAACACTCTTCCAAAGTTATCTTCTGGGAGTTAGACTGCTCTCAGGTCCCCAGCTGTCAGAAGAACATTTAAAAAGGGCAAGGAGTTCAGCGTTGGGGTGGAGTCACTACAGAAATTCCCTAGTCTTTAGGGAATGTGGTCTAAGAACCCTTTGATTAATTCAGCAGGCCCTGCAGCTGAGCCTGGAGTGCACGGAGTCCCTGCCTATGTGGGACAGAAACAGCTTTGTATGGTCTCAGTCCAAAGGGTGGCTAGTTGGGTCTAAGCTGCTTATTATAGAACAATGAGTGATCACATCCGAACTGCAGCTGGTCTTAAGGAGAGATCTCAGAGAATCATATGGTTTCAAACTGCTGTTCACAGGCTTGAGGGCAAAGCACATAACAAAATTCAGAGTGGTAGTATTGTCATTAAAATTCAAGTAAGAGAACACTAGTAATTGTAAAATTACATGTCTTCTAAATTGGCTTTTCTTAACATACAACTTCTTCAACCCTAAGGAGTACAAAATGAACTCTCCTTTTAACAGACACTGGAAGTTAAAGTTATCCTTTATTTTCCTTAAGCTAAGATTAATAGTTTCTTGGGGTGATTAGAAAAGAGAAGATAAGAGTTTACAGATTAAGAGATGCTGTACATAATTACTACCTACTTTGAGTTAGAAACAAAAAACACAAAGAGAATTAATCCTGGCTTGCCTAAACCAATTGCCTCTTACTTAGTAAGAGATATTTGCCCAAAATATTGTCACCTGCTTGAATATCTGGAATACTATTTTCAACCCCTTAATAACGCTTGCCTCAAAATGCTTCTTAGTATTAGAATAGTCTTCTAATCTGTCTTTCTATCTGTAGCCATTCCCTTCAGTATACCTGCCAAATTTTTTTTTTTTTTTAGACAAGGTCTCTCCCTGTCACCCATGCTGGAGTGCAGTGGCATGATCTTGGCTCACTGTAAGCCTCAGTCTCCTGGGTTCAAGCAATGCTCCCACCTCAGCCTCCCTAATAGCTGGGGCTGCAGGCACACACCACCATGCCCCGCTAATGTTTTTATTTTTTGTAGAGACGAGGTCTCACTATATTGCCTAGGCTGGTCTGGAGCTCCTGGGTTCAGGCAATCCGCCAGCCATGTCCTCCCAAAACTGCTGGGATTACAGGCATGAGCCACCACACTCAGTGTATACCTGCCATACTGCTGCCACAATACAAAAGCTGACGAAGCTACTTATCCAAGCTCTTTAAAATGGCATATAAGTTACCGCAAAATTGAGATCCTGCTTTTCCACCCAAAGTTACCTCATGAAATTCCCTATGGGTATGCAGTGCTCTAACCATATCAAATTACTCACAGTTCTGAATTTATAACACACTAGGTCACATTTCTGTAGCTTTGCATAGGGCCTTTCAAAGAAAAAGTCTCTCCCATCCCACATCTGCTTGGATAAGACTGATCCTCACTTTCAAGATTCCCCTCATTCAGCCACTCTGCAGTGAAACCACCCCAGAGCTTCCCAGGCATAGACAGCACATCTGTTATTTATGCCACTTTTTCTTCCCCTGCTATAGTAGGAATTAGGTACACAGGTTTTTCTTTCTGGCTCTCATGACTGGCACAGATCCTGGAACACAAGTGTTTGTTAAAAGAATAAATGAGATTTGGCACGATGGCTCATGCCTGTAATCCCAGCACTTTCAGAGCCCAAGGCAGGTGTCACTTAAGGTCAGGAGTTCAAGACCAGCCTGGCCAACATGGCGAAACCTCGTCTCTACTAAAAATACAAAAATTAGCCAGGTGTGGTGGCACATGCCTGTAGTCCCAGCTACTCGGGAGGCTGAGGCAGGAGAATGGCTTGCACCTGGGAGGTGGAGGTTGCAGTGAGCCGAGATTGTGCCGCTGCACTCCAGCCTGGATGACAGAGCAAAACTGTCTCAAAAAAAAAAAAAAAAAAGAATAAAGAAATGACCGATGGAATGGCCTTGTACTGAATAATGAGATGACTATTAATGCTATCATCATCCTCCCTTAGAGAATATTGGAAGAGTCAGAATTTTGTACCCAAGGACCCTTACTCTAATGTACCCTGAAAACACTCAGTATCAATAGGAATGTTGCCGTATGAGCTACATCTCTGTCATCCTTGCAAATCTCTACCTTCTACAAAATCATCTTTATGATAAGTAGTGGGGAGATAAATTACTCATTAAATTTTTTTCATTTTAATAACAATATAGTCATTACAGAAACAAGATATGAAGACAAGTAAAAATATAAGTTGCCCATTAAATATTTTAATGATAAAAGTTATATGTAATAATTGTAGAAATCATTATCTTTACATTAGGAATGTAAAAATAAGTAAAAGTATAATTTGTCCATTTTCCCAACAATCAGAAATAATCAAGCATTGATAACATTTTGAGGATATCCTCCTAAATGGATTTTTTAAATACATAAATGTCATTACATACCAAAATGGAATCACATTATACAAACTATAACAGAATTTTCCAATCCACAAGATTATGTGTTGTTATAATAACAATCTAAATTTATAATCAAATCAAATGTTTGCAAAAAATGTAAATTTGCTGAACTCCATCCCTGATCTATTGAAATAATCTTTGGATATGGAGTTCTGGAATATTCAACTTAATGCTCTAAGTGATTCTTATGTATAGTAAATTTAGAGCCACTAACCACAGATAGTGTTTTCAAATCACTACAGTAAAATGGCCAAAAAGTAGGGGTTTGAAAGATATTTATTTTGGCTGCACAAAAGAAAACATAAAAGCTATTACAAAATGGAATGGATTACCATCCCAGTTGATGAGCCCCTGGCACCCTGCAAATAGATTTTGGATAACTAGTCTCAGGGATGTGGTGTTCATTCTGTATCAGGAAAGAGGCTGAAAGAGATTATTTCTAAGGCCTGTCTCAACTGTAAGATCCTAAGACTCTATAATTAAAGAATGCTAAGGCTCAATTATACTTCAGAGACAAAAAGAAAAAGAAAACAAAAAGAATAGTTACCTGGGAAGATGGTTGTGAAATTAGCGGGATATGTTTTGTAGGGAGTGCTTTAGTCATAAGGCAGCTCTCAAATCTAACAAAAACTTGGTACATAACTAATTGAAACTTTTTTTTCCTACACAAGATTAAGACCATTTAACTGGTGATCTTGTGGTTCAAAACATCTTCTTAGTAGCACTAACAAAGAACAAGTAAAAGCTCAAGGCTCTGGTTGAAACAGAGTGAAGGACCCAGGCATCTTTGGCATACCTGACCCATTGTCGGGGGAGCTGAGAGAGAGACATCTATGGAACTGTGGAAACACCAGTAATCCAGATGAACCTTTTCATTTTCAAACAAAGAATACGAAGCCCAGAGAAGTTCAGTATTATAAATTTACATGGCTTGTTGGTGACAAAATATTCTAGAAATCCACACTTCTGACTCCTAGTCTACTGTTTTTGGTAATAAAGATTTCTTTACTATTGCAAATTGCCTTTTATTCAAAATACTAAAAGTTAGACATAAATCACAGAATGCCCAAGTGTTTAAATTTTTTTACATATAAAGATGCCACAGTGTAAACAAAGGGCTTAAAATAATCACATTTTAAAAGCAGTCTGACATTTCAAGGATAGCTGCAATAACACTCCTTATGTTCTCCTCTCAGAGTTGTAATTTAATTCTGTTTGGCAGGAAAATCAGTGATTACTCTCACTTTCTGACATTTAAAAGTGCCCACCAAAAAGACAAATAATATTTTCAAACATAGTTCTTGTGTTATACATACTTTATATGTCTACCTGAGTTTACATAGACATGTCAGTATTTTATGGATATACCTATTTATAGGTACTTAGGTAGTATACTTGCTAATTATAAAATAGATAAGTTTATTTTTATAAAATACTTACCTAATCTTAAGAATTATTTTAAATGCTGACTGAAATGACCTAACCACCATATATTTACAGTGAAAACTATATTTACAAATATCCAACTAAATAATTTGAGAATCAACAGCCTAGGTAATTTGAGTATGTTTCATAACTTTAAATACTACCTATATGATGACGACTCCTCAATTTGTATCTCTAGCCTACACATTTCCCATGAACTGCCTAAATACAACTACTTTGGCGCATCTCAAAGTTAACAGGTACAAAATCAAATTCCTGATCTTTCTCCCTAAACTCTTCCTCCAATGACTATTCTCCTATCAGAAAAGACAGATCCATCCACCCAGTTGCTAAACTTGGCATAATTCTAGATTCCTCTCTTAATATCCTATATCCATCAGCAAATCCTGTCCCCATCTTGCCAAAATACATCACGAACCCCATCGCTTCTCACTATCTTTGCTTCTACAATCACCATTGCCTTTCTCAACAGACTCCTAACTGGCCTCCCTGCTTCCATCTTTGTCCCCATAGAGATTATTCTCCAAATAGTAGCAAAAGTGACACATTATAAGCTTATCATCACCTCCGCTAATTTCTAATCTCATTCTGAGTATATGCCCTATAAAGGCACTCTGTGATCTTCCCACCTCATTCTACTACCTCTCTGACTTAATTTCCTACTTCTCTCCCACTTCATTTCAGCCACCCAGTCCACTTCATTGTCAATCCAACATTCCAAGAATAAAGCTACTGTTTTTCTATGCAGATGGTTCTTTCCCCCACACACCTCCATGGCTTTTTTCTTCACCTACTTCACATGTCACTGATAATGTCAAACCTATTCCTAGACTACCTATTCCTAGACTAGCATCCTTATCAGTCAGGATCCCAGGAATTGGGTGCTGCATTAAATTCAGACAAACAGTGCAGTTGAATAAAGAACTGTTTACAAGGGTACAAGAGGGATGTAATAAAACCAGAACGTAAAATATAGAACCATTGGCATGGTAATAATAGTGCTATTGCCTCCTCCAGCCTGAAGGAAGAAGAGGAAGAGAAGATAACAGAAACTCAAAAAAAAAAAGAGTCCAATAGAGAGGGCTGCCTTGAGAAAAATACTGATGATTGAAGGAGGGAAGCAGACAGCCTGAGACCACCTGTGAAAAAGAAGCTGAGAGAATAAATACAGTGAGAATAAATACAGAGAATAAATGCAGTGAGTGTCCCGAGACCCTTTTGCATTGCAAGTGATTTATGAGTTGATTCATGATGTTTGATCCGTATCATAGATGCTTCTGACTTCTAAAAAGTGGAAAAGAAGGTATGTTTATGTGTTATATTCCAAAAGGCAAGATAGTATTAAATGTTTAAGTATTCATCGTGTATACTCATATTCATCATGAATAAACCAAGTAAGGCCTCTCATAGGACACTCCATCCCCCTGGCAAGAGTTTATTAAAGAAAAGCTCTTTAAGAAACAGACATTAGGTGAATCTGCAATTCCTTGATTTTGTAAATTATTTGTGACATTTAGAACTCATTGTATGCAGTAATCAGAAAAACATTACTTATTCTGTTACAGCTTCTCAGACTCCCCAAAGCTGATGCAACTAAAGGAAAAGATAAAACCATAGGGCAGAAGAGCAAACATCTGTTTTACTTGTGAAAACTGAGGAATTTATGTTGAAGGATAATTAATTAGCAAGCAATATATTTTTGCTGATTCTAGTAGCACCTCCTAGGCCACCTCAGTTGGCGAGGCAAAATAGCAACCAGGATAATATGGCATTAAGAGAAACAGAAGTAGAAAAACGCTAGAAGATATCCCTAGAAAAGGTCTTCCCCATCCACTCCCAGTTTCATTAAGAGACGAATCTCATTTATTGATGATCCCTGACTGTCTTCATTTTCCTGAAAGGGAAGATGGGAATAAACAAGGTTGAGAGAAGATAGAGAGAAATGGAAATAGAGAGATTAAGTTGCTATAAGGTTTCTGAAATGTGCTCTAATCTTAACCCTAGAAATATAACCTCATAGCCATCTTACAATGTATTTTCATCCTATTACACTCCTTTTCCTGTGAAAGGTAATCAGATATGTTATTATGATTGCTCTCCAATTCTAGATCAAAGTGGTGGTGATGGTGGTGTTTCCTCTCTCTCCAAATGCTTTTGGTACCAGATGCTCTCAGACACATACATATTACAAAATGACCTCTTGGTATGTACTTTTACTCATCACTCTGGGCATGTAGGATCATTTGGAAGCAGTGGGAGAAGTAGGAAGTTTCCTGGGAGATATTTCTTTACCAGAACAGCAGAAATAACTTCATTATACACTGAACTAATTTTGAACCACCATAAATATTAGGTTGGCCATGTGAAATTGTCAGTGCTCCATCATTTTCAACCTCAAAAAATGCCACTTTCATATGGCTCACACCAAAATATTCTACTAAGTGCAAAATAAATGTATCCCTAACTCAGCATCCCATTAGCCAGAATTCAAAATTGTCCATGTCCACTCTAACACCATTTTTTACACTAAAAGAAATATGACAAATAGGAGTAGAAGTGCACAGTTTAACCTGATTATGTTTAAATCATCTTAATTGCAAATGTTACATATGGTCATGTGAATAAGATGCAGGGTCTTGGACACAGCCTGAAAAAATAAGGAGCCCTGAAGCCTGTGGTCCATTAACTTCATAGTAAATAGCCTCTACAGTCTCAGTCCTGTCACTGACAGTTTTGTCATCTGACCAGTCCCAAGGAAACTTGTAAGGAGCATTAGAAAAGTAAACACACTTCTCTTTTCCCCCAAAGAAATGTTCCCATATGTCACAAAGAAATAATTCCCAATTTACAGGCACAAGCAGAGCAGAGCCTTGTCCATCTATTGCCAGATTCAAATAATCCTGTCCAAAATGATGAAAACTTGTGAAACAAAGAGCCCTATGTTGGTACAGGAATCTCATCTCCTTATCTTATTCCCTAGGGCATTCATCAATTGCATGTTCTGTACAGTAGGCATCTTGCCTTCACATGTGCATTTGTAAAACACAGAGGCCTCAGATAAAAATGTTCTCAATGCAAAATGTAAACTTGTGCTTTATCTAGAATCTGACACCAGGCTATTTGCTAACTGGCCCTACAGTGAAAGAGCTTTCTGGCCATATGGTTTTTAAGTCTGACACAAAATGCCACACAGAGAATAGAGTTCAGCTAGAGCCCTCGACCCATTTTAGTTAGCATCTTTTTCCCTGCTAGTTTTCCAGATAAGTCTCTCCACCACAGACCGATGCCTTGTACAGACTGTCTGCTGAATTCTGCTGAGTCAGGAGCATAGTCCAGGAGAACTGTGCTGAGTCTACACAAAGGCCACCATCTGTTGCAGAGCTTCTAGGAAGAGTGTCATCAGTATGAAACATGATGTCAGCCCTAATCATTACTGGACTGCTTTGGAAGCTAAAGCCAATAATGGAAACGTATTCCAGAAGGTCATTAACACGACTTCTTTGAAATAATTGAGAACACTGCTACATAAGAAGAATAAATAAAACTATATCAAGTGTTCAATGAATTTAAATTCAAAAGGTATCAAATATAGTCAACATAGATTTTAGATTCAGATCAGACAGAACCACAGCTATACCACTAGCTCAGACATTGGCACTGATAAGAGTCACAACAGCAACAACAATTTTCATTTGTTGGGGGGCTACTCGGTGCCAGGCTTTGGGTGAGCTGCTTCAGATATGTATCTTAATCCTCACATTAACCCAATAAGGAAGGTATTACTATCTAAAAGGCAAACTATTTTAATCCTCTTAGCCTCATTTTTAAATCTGTAAAACATTTCACTTATTTTTGCAGGATTTTGCTAATAATTAAAGATAGTAAAGTATCAAATATTCAATAGTAGATGTACAAAATAATAAAATATCTGTTATTAATTTATCATTAAACTCTTAAAGCTTACACAGATAGTATGTATAATGAAATATTAGATCTGGACTTAATATGCATAATGTAAAATATAGAAAACCTCAAGTATCCCACCAGGTGAGCTAGGTTCTGATCCAACAGATTTAAAGAATAAGCTAACAAAAATGAAGCAGAGAAGATGAGTAGGGTTAATCATCATTTAAAGCAGTCAGGAAGTACTAAAAACCCACTCTGGTATAGTAGAATACTGCAAAGAAAGTAATAAACACAATTCTTCTGCAACTATATTTTAAGGATACGGAAAATATATTACTGCTACATTGTTCTATCACTTGCAACAATGCGTACAAGAATAATAACTAAATGAGTGGCAACAAAAGCATTGGTTCAGAGGCTCAGAAATCAAGGATCTATGAAGAGTTAAGTGCTGATAAACATTTATGCTCATTACATAATTTTCAGACTAAAATTCACCTTTACATAAAAGTGGTGTCAATGTGCCAAGTAAGAAGGTTGGCTAGTGATTCTATCCTAGTCAAGCCCCATGAGAGTTACTGCCATTCTCTCTTTATTCCCTGCCCTATTAGTCAAACTACCTCAAAGGGAGATAGGATAAAAAGCCAAGAGAAGCTTTAGAATATACTGGCTCTACCGGTCTACAAATTTCCATAGTGGTCCTATAAATTAAACATAAAAAATTATAGCTAGGATAATAATTACTAATAATGAAAAAGTAAATTCACCAGAATGTTTTGTTTTATTATCACCACCCAAATCAGAAAAAAATATTTTGCTTAAATCACGAATATCGTATCTTTTTTCTGACAGAAACAACAAATCAAACTTTAAGTAATTCTAGTTGGCTAGACTTAACACGAGATTGAACAAGGCATGAAGTAACAACAGCAAAATTTTATTTGTCCTCCTTTTAATAACTCTGGTATATTCAAAGCCACTAGTCTGAAATATAATCAGAAATTGCATTGCATTCTCTAAGGAGTTCATCAAGTACTGTTATGACCTCATACATTTCTGGCAAGCTTGGATGGTCCAGATTCTCCCAAATTAGACTATCAACATGATTTGGTATAATCTCTTTTACAAATATTCAAATATCTTCACTGAGTTTTGGAAACTATATATCAATAAATGTTTCGGTATGCAGTAGCTTCATTTAGCACCAATACACTTGTGATTGACTTCAGTAAATTAGAAATAAGCCTACACTTCTTTTGTGTGGGTGTGGGTGTGTGTGTATGTGTCTGAAAATATCTTTATTTTGCACTCATTCTATAATGAGACTACTTGTGTATACAATTCCAGGTTGACAGTTGTTTTCTAATAGTGCTTGAATACATTATACCAATGTCTTCTGACTTCTGTGTTTTGATACTTCTTCCTTTGTAGATAATGTCTTTCTCTCCTTTGAGATCATCTCCTAATTCCTTAGGTTCTGTAGTTTTATCATGATGTGTCTATATTTAGATTTATCTTTATTTTACTCAGAGTGTAATGTCAATCTGAAAACTCATGTCTTTCCTCAAATTTGAAACATAATGAGCCTACACTTCTAAATAAAATTGATATTTCAACCCTTGAAATAATACATGCATCTAATAAGGGAGGGTATTATAATAAAATTGATATTTAATTTATTTAATATTTGATTTAACTTTTTAAATATTTCTTAAATACCAATTTAAATTGTTTAAATACTTAAGCTGAAGTAAAAACTTAAAGGTTCTTAAGTCACTATATTCAATGTCTTTAAAGTTCAACTTAAAATGTACAGGCATCTAATAAGGGAGGGAAAAATCTTCATTTGTCATTTAAAAGAAGGCTCTTCTGAATATTATTCTTCTTGAAGATAGAGCATTGAAAAGTTTATGGGCATTTTATATGTTCACTAAGCAATTATTTTTAGAGGCTTAGTAACAGCATGTTCCCTGGAAAATGATTCAGGGGCATCAGAGACTCTACAACAAATTTAATTAATAGTGCTGACATTCAGTCATTTACTCATTTAGTCCTAAGTAAACACAAGAAGAGTGGTCAGAGTAATCACAGACATCTCTGTGCATGAGTAGCATGAGGGTTCTGACTGAGGGCCTTCTTTAGACATTAGGATGTCTTATAATTAAATCCTTATTTTCTTATTCCTCTCATTAGGCCCTTGGACTAAGTTTAAGACAAATATATCTAGCACTAAATTTTGCTATGCTAAGCACATGGTTTTGAAAATATAAGAAGGCATAAAAGCAAATTAGTATATTCAGGAGCCTAACTATATGACACAATTATTTAAATTAATAAAACTTTTCACATAGCCTATTTGCAAACTTGTGACATTTTTCTTGTCTAGTATCTTGCTGCCCAGAAGGTAAATCATAGAGGAGAGAGCAAAATTGAGAGGATACGCCAGCAATCCCCTCCACTTAAAAATTTGAAATTGGCCTTAGGATTCATAAGTGACCACAGCTATAATAGTTCTAAATGACTACATTTAATGAGCACATACAAAACTGAAAAAAAAAATAGGAAAACAGTGATAGTAAAAGCAAACTTCCCTTTCCCTAACTTTGTACACACATACACACACACACACACACACACACACACACACACACACATATCTTCAGATATCTCCTTAATGGCACATTTTCATTCAATTTGCACTCACAAACTCCTTAACTGCACACTTTTTGGAGAAGGAAGTGATTTCTCTGTGGGCAGCAAAAAAATTGAGGATTCTTCAGGATATTGTTTAAATAAATATTAAAATAACAGTCCTTCATGAATAAGTGGTTATTCATCCTTTAAACATTTATTGCCAACTGCAACTGTGCATGCAAAGAGTGGAGTCCCTAGAATATAAAAGAATATGTACCACAGCACAGCCTATGTTCAGGGCAGTTACAAAGGGAACAGATCTAAAACTAGATATACCTGACTCTAAAACCCATGCCTTTCTTCTGTGCTGAGATTGCAATCTAGCTACAACACAGTAAAATACAATGAAATAAAATAAAATCGCAGGAAGTACAATGGCAATTCAGGGAGAAGAGGAGATATTCACTCTGTCTGCAAAGGATTAAAAGAGAACCCAAGCAGCTTAAGGTGAGAGGCAAAATGTGAGCTGGATCTGGAAGAGTGTCGATATTTACAGACAAATAAATTTATATTGGTTTTTAGGAAAACTCAACGAAGAGAAGAAAGGACAGCAAACGCAAAGGTAAAATCTCCTAAGGATGCAGTGATTGTCCAGTTTGTATCAAGTAGGGGGAGGAATGAGAACATAAGCACAGTGCAGATGGTAGAGCAAATAGAGGGTAAAGATAAAGAGGTCTTGACAAAAGGCAGAACTTTGAAGGCTTTTGGCCAGAATAAAACATGATCAGGGCTGCCATGAACAAGAGTGAGAAAATACCTAAGACTGGGAGAAAAGAATTTCAAACCACAGGCAAGAGGTATTGAAGGCCAAAGTCAGGGTCAGGGAAGTAGTGGGAATGCACACTGGCTGGCTTTGACGTACTACTCAGCCATAAAGTCTACAACTTCAAATAAATGTGACCTTTACCACAAAGAGCTAAGTGAGAGTGGCACAAGAAACTGTAGTCAATATACATTTCCAAAATAAACCTTTATAAAACAGCTGAAATAACAAAGGTAGAGAAGAATTGCAGTGTTGTGAGAAACTGAGAAATAGCGACAGAAATACCTGGTAAAAGAATAGCTACAAATTTGGATAACAAACCACCATGAATACTATTATATCCAGCCACGTTATAAACTATTTTAATGCCATTTGGAGGAGATCTAGAATTAAGCTGAAATCAGCTTTAACTTTCTCTTTTTCTCTAAGGTATTACAAAGTTCATGCCATGAGAATAGGACAAACTAACGAGGTTATATTGTTTCTTCATTTACAACCTCACCTAGCAGCCAATGCCAACCTCTTCCTCTACCCCTAAAAAAAAAAGCTCTAAAATATAAATGCAGCATACTGAATTATACTCTATAATGATTAATACACTGTATAGAGAACACTGTGTATACAATTTGAAAATAATGAAGCAGAAGAATTTTTGATCATGTTGTTGATGATTCCTACTTAAAACCTGAAACCCCTGCAAATTAAAGGGCAAGTTTTGTAATGCACAAATTTTTTCCCATCAACTCAGTGGTGATACTTTAGATAATTTTAAGTGATTCCTGGGTAATTTTATTTTATTCATTTATTTATTTATTTATTTTTGAGACAGAGTTTCACTCCTGTTGTCCAGGCTGGAGTGCAATGGCACAATCTTGCTCGATCTTGGCTCACTGCAACCTCCGCCTCCTAGGTTCAAGAGATTCTCATGCCTCAGCCTCCCAAGTAGCTGGGATTACAGGCATCTGCCACCACACCCGGCTAATTTGTATTTTTAGTAGAGTTGGTGTTTCACCATGTTGGTCAGGCTGGTCTCAAACTCCTGACCTTAGGTGATCTGCCCGCCTCTGACTCCCAAAGTGCTGGGATTACAGGTGTGAGCCACCATGCTTGGCTACCTGAGTAATCTTTTAACTCTGTGATCCTTTTTACTTTACTATTTAATGTGTACTGAAAAAAAAAAGATATAGAAGACTACATTTCCCCTTTAAATATATTTAAGTTTTTAAAAAGTTTATTTCAATAAAAATACATCTATACAAGTGATAAACAGTGCCAGTAATACAATAAAATCTTATATGTGAAAAACATTTTTAGCATGTTAGCACACTAAACTTACTGCCACAGATAATTTCATCAGAACGTTATCTTTTAGTAGTTTTCTACTCAATCCCAGTTTATGGAAAAATCAGGTCTATTGTATTAGACTCAGTATTAGTATCAAATATAACAACAATATCTAGAATTTGGTTTATATTAATTTACAAAGAAAACATTTCATCTATTGGATATGCCATTTTCAAATCTTTTGAAATTGGTTTACATAGTTAGAAATTATAAAAGCAGAATCAGAAATTACAGATATAAAGATTGGTGTGTTGAAGACAGAAAAATAAATTGATCCATTAAAATCAATACAATGCTTGAATTTCGCATTCAAATTTTAACTTCAAAAAAAGGTTGAGTATTGTTTCTTCAAAGGAAGTGATTTAACCACATGCCAGGAAAAGCTTGAAATAGGTAATTCTTTTAAAATAGCCTATAGTAGAAATTCCTTTTAAAGTCAACAGGAAATTCATTAAACATGAATATATACCAAGGGCGGAAATAAGACCATTAAGTCTAGAAATATAGGAAACTGTTTTTTTGAAGTAGTCTACATTTCACTCTGAAGGACAGTTGGTTTCTTTTCCTTTTGTAGGTGTTTTTTTTTTTCTGGAGGAGGAGAGTACAAAAATTTTTAATTTCAAAGATTAACATGTCTGAAAACATATCCTAGATAGTACATAGATAAGGTTTTTGTTATTAAAACATTACTGAGTTTTGCAAATTTTAGGTAAAATCTTAAAATTTTAGTTTATGTTATTTCCATTTAAATTGAAGATTGCCCATATTCACATAGAAGATGAATGTTGAAGGATTATGTATAGAAAATCCATACATACTTAAACTTTATGATGCAGCATCTATTTTGAAAGCCTGTTTGTTTTATTTTTTTTAACAAAACATGCTTCTCAGAAAATATGTTTATATGTTGCATTGCATTGCTATAGCCCAAATGCATACATTTTTGTAAAATACCAAGAGTCAAAGTGCTGTATAAACTTTTGTCAGGACATAGGAAAGAAGGTCTTATACCAGGTTACTGATACTCACAGAGATATGTGAAAACATTTCTTTCAAGTTGGAGAGGACTTTTTCATCAGTGAATATTCTTTCCATGTAATGATGCAGCAAATACATACCTACTGCCAAGGACGTTAAAGTCAATTGTACACATAAGGAGTGAAGGTTCAATACTGTTCTATTTATGATAATTTTAATTATACTTCAAAACACATTATGTTTCAGGGATAGCCACCTTTCCTTTAAAAATATGTCCAAAAAATACTATATGAGTTTAGAGATGCTAATAAACTTTGGTTCTCTACCACCATGGTGTTGCTCCCTAGGGGACATTTGGCATCAGCTGGTGATGGTCTTCCTCCCAGCGGACATTTGGCACCAACTAGGAATGCTTTTGCCTCCCAGGGACATTTGACAACATCTAGAGACATTTTGCCTTATCACAACTAGGGGCACTGTGCTGGTGTCTAGTGGGTAGAGGCCAGGGATGTTGCTTAACATGCTACAATGCACAGGGCCACTCCCTTGACAACAAAGAGTTGTCTTTCCCAAAATGTCAATATTGCCAAGACTGGGAAACCCCATACTAAACTTATCACCATCAAACATACTCCAAGATATTAAGCTCAATGATAGAAGAAAGTAAAAAGGGCAAAAAAGATCAAATGAAAGAAAGAATAGGACAAAAAAAGAGCTCTGAATCAACAAAATAAAAATCTAAAGTTTTGTAATAAGTATTTATGGCTAATATGAGAAATGCAATATGGGGTCATGCTGTAGTAATGATCACACACATATACAAGGACTGTAGGCAAACTTGGCAAACAACCATAAAAGAAAAAGGGTTGCTATTTAAGCTACATTTCTGGCTTGTTGATGAATGACCTGACTTAACACAATTATTTTATATGCTCATAGTCATGTTTCCCATTCCTATGAGATGCTAGCAGTGGTAGCTAGTTGGGTAGATTTGTCCAAATAATAAAGGGTGACCTTCAGTTGTAAAATCAAATCTCTTTATTTCCAAAGTATGTTGACCTCCTCCAACCCAAGTTAAAAGAATATACACTATGATTCCATCTTTCAATGTATTAACATCAAGATGTACAAGTCTGAAAATGGTCAAAATTTTGTACTGGAATAATGCATACTAAACTATTGTTTTTACCTCTGAGGGACGTGGGTGTAAGGGGGCCATGAAGGTAAACATTCCTATTTTGCTCTCTCTGTCTTGTGTTTGAATCTTTTATAATAAGAATGCATTCATGTGTAAAAACTTTTATTTTTACAAAGAATAAGCTTTCCCAAAAGCAAGATGCAAAAATTCTGCTATAGCTTATTAACATTTAATGCAAATATCTTGCTTTGTATAATATAGAAATTGTTCAACAGTTACAATAACAGCTTTAATCATGTTCCCAATAAAGGAATTTGCTAGCTAAATTCTACAGAGTTTATTCCACAGATTTAAAAATGTTTAGAAAACAAATATCACCCATAAATTAAATAATGTATTCGATGCAGGGCAGGCAAGCCCCCAAACTGGGGCTTAGCTTGGGACAGTTCTTGACTCTGTCCAGGAAAGAAATCAAAGGCATGACAATGGTAGGAGCCTCTATTGAGGTGGTAGTGTACAGCAGAAGCAGAAGCACTGCTCCTTGCAGAGCACAGCTACCCCATAGGAAGCGCGCCTAGAATAGCAGCTAAAAGGCAGTTCTGCAGTCATATTTATACCTGCTTTTAATTACATGCAAATTAAGGGGCAGATTATGCAGAAATTTCTAGGAAAAGGGTAATAACTCCTGGGTTGTTGGATTATTCCCACGGAAAGCAGTGGTAACTTGGGAGTTAACTTATAGTAACTCACCATGCCAATGATAAACTAATATGGTGCACTGCTGGGCATGTCTTATGGAAAGCTGCCTCTGCCCCTTCCTTGCTTTAGCTAGTCCTCAATTTGATCCGGTGTTCCAGCCCTGTCTCCGTTGTTGAGTCCCACCTTCTGCCTCATATTGAGCTACATTTCCATATATGGAGTTTATTGAAAGAAAAGAACAATTGAATACCATCAGCACACCATTGTTACTCTGGGAATTTTATTGACATTTTTGTTATCTGTCTGAAAATAAAACAACTGATAACAACAGCACATTTGGGCATGTTAAAAGGACTTAGAAATTTTCCTACTAGCTATAAAAAATTTATATACCCTCTGACTAAATGTTTTACAACTTTTATGAGACTTACTCTGATTCACTAAAATAACATATATAGCGATAGTCAGTCAACAGTCAAAAAAATGCTTTGCATTTTCTCCATTCTGCTTTATTTAATTCTGAACAAGAATAACTGCACTTTCTAGATCATGACTGATTTTCCTCATTTATTAACATATCATTTTATGGAGCAAAAATTAATTAGAAGGAAATCAGTTATTTCATCCAACTAAGATTAGGCAGGTATCAAAAGTTTTTTCACTCATCAATTAGGGCAATTTACAATAAATAGCCAAGTGAAATTTTGGCTGACACTAAAGATTAGTTTGCCAAGGTATCAAAAATGAACAATGAAAAACTGGAAAAGAAAAAGCTGTGATCATAAAATCAATCTACTTATGGAACTATAGTTTTACTCTCAGAAAAACTTTTCTCATTCCATCTAATATCATCTTCGATCCACTATACATATGCCACAATATAAAAAAAAAACCTCACTAATTCACTTAATAGCATATTTTAAAATACATGTTTATAATATTTTAAGTTATATAGTCATGATTAAGTATATTATTATACATTATAAATAAAATCTATGTCCTCCCCAACTTTCCAAGGAAAGCTATCCATTAACATGGCACATATAAATACAACAAAAACACGTATACTCTGAATTTCTCATACTCTATCAGTAAGTGGCCTTTTCAATACATAAACATTTGACAGACTGCACCATAATCTGGAAAAATAAAACAATGTAAAGATATAAGAGATAAATCTATGTAATTACTCCAACAGACAAAAACATGCAAATCAGGTTATTATTAAATTATACTAAATATATTTCTCTCTGGTTGTCACTGCTTCTTAGACTCCCCAGATCATCAATCAAAATCCCAGTTGACTAGATTGTGTCGACTATCACTTTACTTCCAGTATATCTTGTAAAAATATGTTTCCTATTTCATTCAGGAGAAAATTGCAATTCAATCTGAAAAGAACCATGTTCTTAGGATTAAAGTCCTCACCTACATCTGTGCATACATATAATCTTAGGAAACCAAACGAGCCATGAAAAATTACGTAATTCCTTCCTATGGGATGAAATGAGGTAGTCAAGTGGCTGAGGCCAGATTGTGCAGGGCTACATACATCATGGGGGAGAGTTTGGCTTGTTTTCTGCTAATGTCTATGAGATAAAAACCGATTTTGCTAGGTAGTGGCACTCAGGTAACAGAGGAAGGGTTAAGTGCAGGTGTGGCCCTCTCCCAATTCATTATCTAACATTTGCATCTTTCTCACAGTTCTTCCCAAGGCATATTTTAATATAAGCATTTTCAAGGAGGCATGTTTTCTTTAAAGGAAATGAGATCTTGAATTTATTGTTTCTTCATTCACTCATCAAATATTTGAAAGCCTATCATGCCTGGCACTGTTATAGGTTTTGGGTTCCTAGGAATATAAACAAATGCACAGCAATCTCTACTTTTATGGGGATTCTACTCTTGTAGATAAGAAATATTAAGAATACCAGATTATTACATGATATAGTATATTAGGTGATAAGTACTACTGAAAATATTAAAATAGGATTAATGGGAAATACCAAGGAGTTGTGATTTTAAATATGGAGGTAAGGGTAGGCTTCCCAGGAAGATGACTTCTGAGGAAAAAGCAGGAGTTGAAAAGTGAAGCATAAGGGACAGCTGGGGAGGAGCAGTCAGGGCGCTGTGTGAACAGTGAGCAATGAGGCCACAAAGGCATCAAGAGGCCATACCATGTGGGACTTCCCAAGTAATTACTCTTCCTTTATATGAAATGGAAGCCAGTGGAAGGTTTTGAGTAGAGAAGTGACATAATGCAGGACCTGGGACACTCAAATGGAGAAAATGTACAGAAGTGAGTGTGCAACTGTAATGAAAAAATCTACCAGAAAGCAAACAACCTAGTAGACAAAAAGTCAAAAAAGTGTGAAAGGCCATAAAGAGGGTAGTTGCTAGCCAAAGAGACTGTAATTCTTCAAATATATTAGAAGTTTCTTGTCACAGGATGAAACTTGTCAGTTTTATCTGCCTTTACAAAAACAGAAAATGAGTTGTAAAAGGGAGTCTTTCTACCTTTCTCTGTTGTATCAGGCATACAAGCAAAAAGAGAGCTATACATTCTATTCAGAGCAATAAATAAAATTTCATTCTAACTGTAGATCAAATATCATGGCTTTTTCTTCCACGTTTTACCCTAAATGGTAATCGCCATCATTACAACTATTTCTTTTTATCTTTCATAGCAGCAATTTACTCATATCCTGCTTCTTCTTGGTGTTTCTTACATTCATTCACTTAACAATAGCCTCCCTTAATCTGCAGTTTTGCTTTCTGTGGCTCAATTACCCTCAATCAGTCACAGTCTGAAAATATTAAGATATTTTGAGAGACCGAGAGAGGGAGCATTCATATAACTTTTATTACCGTACATTACCATAATTGTTCTATTTTACTTTTAGTTATTATTGTTAATCCTTTACTGTGCCTAATTTATAAATTAAACCTTATCATAGATTGGTATGTACAGGAAAAAACATAGTACAGGTATATACAGGGTTACATACTATCTGTGGTTTCAGGCATCCACTGAGGATCTTGGAACGTGTCTCCTGAGGATGAAGGGGGCCTACTGTATTCATTAATCCAAGAAACCTTTATTTTGTACTTTCTTAACATCAAGTAGTATGCTAAGTGCTATAAAGACAATGATTAAATACAAAAAATTCAAAGGTCTGAAACAAAGACATTGGGAAACAGACTCTGATAGGCCACAATACAGACAGAAAAATATCACTATACAGCAGTCCTCCCTCATCTGCAGGGGATACATCTGAAGACCCCCAGTGGATGCCTGAAACCAAGGATAACACCAAATCTTATATTTACTATGTTTTCTCCTATAGATACATATGATAAAGCTTAATTTATAAATTAGGCACAGTAAGAGATTAACAATAACTAATATAAAAGAACAATTACAACAACATACTGTAATAAAAGTTATCATGCACTGCAGCCATAACTTTTACAGTTTGAAGTGAGATGGCAAAACTAGCCTGAGTTTCTTTTCCTTCGTTACAATTTCATGGATTGAAGATTAGTTTTCACCATGGATCTCAGCAATCTCAGCATATGATTTTTTTTCTTTCCTTATTAAGTTGAAAACATTCAGCTTTTCACTTAAAGTAAGCATTTCAAGGCTTATTCTTGGCATATTAAAATTCTCAGCATCACTACTCTGTGCTTTGGTGCCATTATTAAGTAAAATAAGGGTTACCTGATCACAAGCACTGCTATACCAAGACAGCAGATCTGATAACGGGATGGCTACTAAGTGACTAATGGGTGGGGAGCACAGACAGCACGGATGGCTAGACAAAGGGATGATTCAAAAGTAGGGGATAGTGTGGGGTTTTATCACGCTACTCAGAACAGTGTGCAATTTAAAACAAGAATCGTTTATTTCTGGAATTTTCCATTTAATATTTTCCAACCACAATTGACCGGAGGTAACTGGAACTGCAGAAAACAAAACCATTGTTAAGGGGAGACTACTGTAATGTATTTAAAAGGTACATAAAGAAAGTGTAGTGGGGCTGGCAACAGAGCACAGTATAATCTACTTAGCCTGTGGAGCCAAAGGAGGTTTTACAAAGTTAGTTTTATTAAAAAATTGTAGTCGGTAAAAGCACAAGTTATGGAGACATACTGGCTGACTACAAATTTGGCTGAGGCCTACATCCTAGCTGTGTGACCTTGGGCAAGTGGGAGGAGAGAGGTTGTTGAGTATGCAAGAAACTAAATCATGAAAAATGGAGAGGGGGAGGATAAAGATCTAGGACACTAGGACATGGGTTCTATTTTTCACTTTACAGGATAACAATTAAAAGAAAAAATTTGCACAGGAGAAAGTTTGACTTTGACATTTCAAGTAATAAAAAATGATTCTTAAGGACAGAGACAATTCCCCTACTGTACTACTAGTATTTTGTTAGGAAACTTTTGTGAAGAGATTTTTCTCACCAAAGTGACCTCCATTTTATATAGACAGATTAAGTAACTTGAAGGCTATCCAGTTGGTACCAAGAACTATATAGAAAATATAGAAAATTCAAAAGAATCCACAACTAAAAATGACTAAAAACGACTCTACAGACAGTGTTAAGACTTCATGCCAGCACTAGATCCAAGAATGGAGTCTTATTATGTTACTTTATTTTATATGTATTTTGTTTTTTTTTTAATTTTCCTTTTTATGAAACTTTAAAAGAAGAAAAAAATTTAAAAGCCTTAGTTAGGCATTTTCCCTAGGAATACATCTAACAAGGTATGTGAAGGACCTCTTCAAGGAGAACTATATACCAATTCTCAATAAAATAAATAAAATACTCAATTCTCAATAAAATACCAATTCTCAATAAAATAAAATACCAATTCTCAATAAAATAAATAAAAGAGAAATAAAAGAGGATGCAAACAAAAGGCAAAACATTCCATCCTCATGGATAGGAAAAATCAATATTGTGAAAATGGCCATACTGCCCAAAGTAATTCATAGACTCAATGACATTCCCATCAAACTACCATTGACATTCTTCACAGAATTAGAAAAAACTACTTTAAATTTCATGGTCAATCAAAGAACACCCCATATAGCCAAGACAATCCTAAGCAAAAGGAGCACAGCTGAAGGCATCATGCTACCTGACTTCAAACTATCCTACAAGGCTACAGTAACCAAAACAGCATGGTACTAGTATCAAAACAGACATATAGACCAATGGAGCAGAACAGAGACTTCAGAAATAACCCCACAAATCTACAACCATCTGATCTTCAACAAACCTGACAAAAACAACCAATGGGTAAGGGATCTCCTATTCAGTAAATGGTGCAACTGGCTAGCCATATGCAGAAAATTGAAACTGGACCCCTTCCTTACACCTGATGCAAAAATTAACTCAAGATGGATTCAAGACTTAAATGTAAAACCCAAAACCATAAAAACCCTAGGAGAAAACCTGGGAAATACCATTCAGGACGCAGGCATGGACAAAGACTTCATAACAAAAACGTCAAAAGCAATTGCAACAAAAGCCAAAATTGACAAATGGGATCTAATTAAACTAAAGAGCTTCTGCACAGCAAAAGAAACTATCATCAGCGTGAACAGGCAACCTACAGAATGGGAGAAAATTTTTGCCATCCACCTATCTGACAAAGGTCTAATATCCAGAGTTTACAAGGAACTTAAACAAATTTACAGGAAAAAAACAAACAACCCCATCAAAAAGTGGGCAAAGGATATGAACAGACACTTCTCAAAAGAAGACATTCATGCGGCCAACAAGCATGTGAAAAAAAGCTCAACATCACCGACCATCAGAGAAATGCACATGCCAATAAAATGGCGATTATTAAAAAGTCAGGAAACAATAGATGCTGGCAAGGCTGTGGAGAATTAGGAACGCTTTTACAGTGTTGGGGGGAATGTAAATTAGTTCAACCATTGTGGAAGACAGTATGGCGATTCCTCAAGGATCTAGAACTAGAAATAGCATTTGACCCAGCAATCCCATTACCGGGTATTTACTCAAAGGATTATAAATCATTCTATTATAAAGACACATGCACACATATGTTTATTGCAGCACTATTTACAACAGCAAAGACATGGAACCAACCAAATGCCCATCAATGATAGACTGGATAAAGAAAACGTGGTACATATACACCATGGAATACTATGCTGCCATAAAAATGAATGAGATCATGTCCTTTGCAGGGACATGGATGAAGCTGGAAGCCATCATCCTCAGCAAACTAACACAGAAACAGAAAACCAAATACCACATGTTCTCATTTATAAGTGGGAGTTGAACAATGGACACAGAGAAGGGAACAACACACACCAGGTTCTGTTGGTGGATGGGGGATGAGGGGAGGGAACTTAGAGGATAGGTCAATAGGTGCAGCAAACCACCATGGAAAACATATATCTGTGTAACAAACCTGCACATTCTGAACATATATCTGGGTTTTTTTTTAGGAGAAATTAAAAAAAATAGTCTTAGATATTTTCTAAAGTACTTAGGTATTTTAAAGAAAAAAACATAAAGAGATATGACATAACAGAAAGACAATAGCAAATCTAGGTATGGTGTTTTTGAATTATATTGAAGGAGCTGTCTATAAAGACCTCACTACAAGTGTAGTTAGAAGTCTATATTAATGCTGTATTTCTCTAAATTCTTTATTTTTCCGTCAGAATTATTTTGTTAAAAAGCCAGTTTGAGTTAAGAAATGTTTAGTAGTAATTGTATTCAAGGTATATGTGTATTAATATAATATATAATAAATATGTAATGTGTATATATTTATAATATATAATGCTTCTAAGTATTATAGTACATATGTATATACTTATACGTATAAGTATATGCATACAAATATTAAATTTATTGTATTTAAATATTTATATTTTATTATATACATATAAATATTAGATTTATAAATATATAAATATAAATAAACATTTTTATAATGCTTATCATAAAATGCTTTCTAAATATTAATATAACTTCATAGTAAATTTCAGTAACTGAGAAAATCAATTTTGTTAAAATTGGATACATCTACTCATATTTATTTCTAGGTATCTCTACTTCTTTTAAATGACTGGTCAAATTCAAAATGGTGTCAGAATCAGCAAAGCTCAAGATGAAGTCACAAAAAGGAAAAGTTAACTCCACAATGCATGGTGGCTCACGCCTATAATCCCAGCACTTTGGGAGGCCAAGGCAGGCAGGATCACAAGGTCAAGACATACAGACCATCCTGACCAACATGGTGAAACCCCGTCTCTACTAAAAATACAAAAATTAGCTGGGCACGGTGGCGCATGCCTGTAGTCCCAGCTACTCGGGAGGCTGAGGCAGGAGAATCGCTTGAACCCGGGATGTGGAGCTTGCAGTGAGCCAAGATCATGTCACTGCACTGCAGCCTGTGCAACAGAGCGAGACTCCGACTCAAAAAAAAAAAAGTATTTGTGGAAACCAATAACCAACTGCAGAAATATTATTTGGGGAATTGGGCATAATTCCTTGAGTTGGAGGCCCATAATTCTTTATCCTTTGACCAAGGATTGAAACTCATTTTGCCAGGCTTCTGAAATCTCTATTCAATTTCAGGTAAGGAACTGTGTGGACACGGAAAGCTGCAACCCAAAAATGAACACAAAGCCCTGGCCAGCTAAGCTGACCATTTCTAGAAATATCTGACAAATATTAGATACAATTTCATCTTTAACACAGTTAAGTCCTATTAAAATATTTTTCAAGTTAGTCCTTTCTTTTCTATCTCTTCTAAAATGATCTAGTTTAGATCTCTATTAGCTTCCTCCTATGAGGTTTAAGAAGTCCCTCTGGTATTGAAATTATGGGTTCAGATTTTCTTCTCTGTGTCTGTTACTGGCTTCTCATTTTCTGATTCTCCTCAAATATCAGTGCTCTCAGGGGTATGACTTCATGCCATTGACAGTCATCTCCAGGCTGAGGACTCTCAAATCCATCTCCATCTCAGGATTTCCCCCTACTTCCAAATGGTATATCCAACTCACTATAGAGCACCTCTCCCTGAATGTCCCCAAAACACCTCAAACTCAAAAATACAAAGAAGAATTCTTACTTTTTTCTTCCAATCACATTCTTTGTCTCATATTTCCTTGTCTTGGTGAATTTTACTGCAATCCAGTCAACCAAGCAAGCTTGCAATTTACACATGATTCTATTTCTTTTTCTTGATATGCTCACATCCAATCAACCAACAATTTCTATAAATTAAACATCACCCTGATTCATTCTTCTTCAATCTCCTTGATATTTCTTAAATTCAGGCCTTCATCTTCTCTAATCGAGACTATTTTAACATTTTCCAATTTACTTATATTACTTTATTCTCATACCTCTTCATTCTGTCTTGCTCAAAGCTGTGAGGTTTTATAAGTGCAAAGTGTATCATGTTCCTTTCCTCTTTTTCCCTTCCTTTTATTTTGTTTAAAAACCTTGAATGGTTCCTCAGAGTCCACAGCTACAGAACTCTAACAGAGGCACATAAACACTTAGGAAATGTAGCAGAGTTGGGGAGTAAATGAAGTCACAGAAATTAATAACCCATATTCCTAGAGGATTGAAATTGCCTCATTGTAACTGAAATATAGAAGGTTTACTTTAAAACAAACTTTATGAAGCAGAAGGCCAGATTCTAATGAATTTAAGACTTCAAAGGAAGTACACTTGCAGAAGGCAGATTAAGCTTATAAGTCCACTCTTCTCTGACATTAAGAATACCTTGGAGGAATCTAGCACAGTAGTTGGCACATAGCAAAAAATAAGCTTTAAAAAGTATGTTGAATGAATGAAAGTCTGCATAGTAAAAGCAGGAACCCCAGCAGCCTTCATCCACTTAGCACACAATTATTGGCTCTCCCGTATTTACAAATATTATTCCACAAGATTGATCACTCAATTTAAATTTCAATTATCACAGTTGGACTTAAAATTTTTTTTCTCTCAATGTCTTAAGCTACAGACAAGCTATGGGATACTCTTCAACAATAGCCCTGATCCGTAGTTACTCAGCCTTTCTCCAAAAAGGTTCAGTAACAGAGCATCACTATTGCATAATCAATCTTGATCCATTATCAGAAGCTTCTTTCTTATATTGAGTTGGAATCTCAAGATAATATACCTTAATTTCTTCTTGTTTATTTATTTATTTTGAGAGAGGGTCTCGCTCTATTGCCCAGACTGAAGTGCAGTGGTGTGATCTCGGCTCACTGCAGCCTCAACCTCCCAGGCTCAAGCAGTCCTCCCACCTCAGCCTCCTGAGTAGCTGGGACCACAGGTGCACATCCCCATGCCAGGCTATTTTTCGTATTTTTTGTAGAAATGGGGTTTCACCATGTTGCCCAGGCTGGTCTTGAACTGCTGGGCTCAAGCAACCTGCCCACCTCAACCTCCCAAAGTGCTGGGATTACAGGTGTGAGCCACCAAGCCTAGCCAATTCCTTCTTAAGACAGAGATCATTCGTGATGTTACATCTCCCAAAAGACAGGATCGAAAAGAAAAATGCCATTGGATTCAAACTGTGAAAAGGAACAATTTCAAAAACAACAAAGTAACAATATAAATGTTAACTATGGATGTTTAGGAGCTTCATGGTGATCTGACAGATGAAGAACAAGAAAATCTGATGCTGCCTGCTCCCCAAGCTAAACAGAGACACACGAACTCTAATAATCTGGGGGCTAAGGGAGGGAACACACAAGAAAAAGCTCCATGAAAATGTACAAGTACCACGGCAGATACTCTCTTTTATACCTCTCAGTGATGCATACAAGGTTCGGGCCATTATCTTCATTTTACATTCAAGAAAAACTTCTAGAAAAGCCAAATAATCTCTGAATAATCTCAGAGCTAAATAAGAGTTCTCAAGACCCTTTACTAGCAAGTGATGGAGCCAGGAGCAAGACTACACACCATGGGAATGTCTGGTAAGGAGCCAGGTCTATCTGCACCTCAGTAAGTCTTTAATAACTCATCTTGGCATTCTATAACATCTTACGGACTATACACTTCATCTTTTTTACTGAACTTGCAGAAGTTCAGAACTTGGAGAAGTTCAGTACATAAGATGTAAATGGGGGACATAAAACAAAGCTCTAGTGCATTTATGTTCTGTGGGTTTGTTCTCTCACACAAACACACACTCATATATTTGTTTTTCAAATTTTAACCTTTTTTAAATGTTGGGGAAAAGATGGTCAAAAGCTTTTTTTGTAATGTTTTCATTTTAATACTGAGGAAAATTATTTTCTAAAACATTTTTCTGTGATAATTACTTTCCCATGTACATTTACAAAACAGAATGCAGCTTGCCATTAGCCCTTGATGGAAATGATGCATTTAAAATACCAAACCTAAAAAACAGATTCTGTCCATGATGTTAAGTTACTTTAATGACTGTGCTGATGTCAGGAAGACAGTCACAGACAGTCTCTCCTCATAATCAAATTAGTTGAGTCTGAACACATGTGGATGCTAATGCAGGCCACCGGGGGAAAAAAAAAAATGACCTAAAAGATTCAGACTGTAGGCCTTAGTAATCATGATCAAGAGCTGAGTGAGAGATAAAGCCCAGGGGCAGGACTGGCACAATGACACCCAGTTTATAATGTACTCATCCTTGTCTACTGGTGAAAAATTGCTGGCGTAGTGATTCCAACAAAAACCACTGCCAAATGATTAATGTTTCTCTTATTACTAATTTTCTGTTTAGATGTTATCAATCCACACCATTTCCTATTTATCTTTAATAGTACTACAAATATGAAATCATGAAATTAGATCCACAGGATTCTCCTTCTGAAGTTCTTCCTGCTCCCATATCAGTAAATACACCTAAATCAATGGCTATACACCACAGCATATTATGTGAAAAGAACTCAGTCTACAAACCAGTGTGTGGCACATGATCTCAATTATAATTAAACAATAAAGAAGAATGCAAATCAAAACAGCCAGGGAAACTAGCCTTTTTTCCTTTATACTAAACTCCAGTATTCTTAAATGTGTTTCAACAGCATAAATTAATTATATAATTGAAAACTATTGACCCATGTGAACTAAAAAACTTAGTAGCTTTCTCATACATAATTTTAGGATTGAGGCTTTCTTATTTTGTTTCATATGAATATTTTACATTGTAAACTTCCTACTACCATATTTTATTTGTAAAAAAAAAAATCTCGAAAAAGGAGATGTATCTCACTTCAAATTACACAATATTTTTAAACTGGTATGTATTTTCTTCTGAAAACATATAACTTTTTAATGCAGATATGTCAAAACAGAAATTAATTTTGTATCCTAATTTTTATCTTTTGTAAGTCACAAATTACATGATACGTTGAAGTTGTTCTACCTGTATTTATCATTGTGTATAAATTTATTTTCATAAAATATCATATTTGTTAATCAAAATGAAAACAGCATATAATTATACTGTAAAATTTAAACATAAAAATCCAAGAATCATAGTTTCATGACATAATAATACTAGCTATCATTTATTGACCACCTACAAAATCATTATTTTCCTTCAATAATTCTGCTTCTATTGTATTTATTCTGTTGATAAATGGTACAAACACCCAAGTTACCAAAACCAGAAAACTTAGAATCCAGATTTACGCCATTCTCCTGCCTACATCCTACTGTTTACCTCCCACAATTATTGATAGTCATCAAATACACAAAAAGTACAAAACATTATTTCTTCTTTAATATCTTGGAATGAAGTCATTTCCCATGGTCATCCCTCTAAACTAGGCTTCCACTCCCTCTTGCCTAGACATATTGGCAGACATCAACTCAGCTCTTTCTAAAACGTAGATGATGACATTTTGTCACCAACTCCATTATAACCTTTGTTAAATGGTTTTGAATTGCTCTTAGAATGAAGTACAAACTTTGGATTGTAAAGTCTGACCAGATGACTCCCTGCCTCACTGGCTTCATCTCCAGCAATTTTAGTCCCTCTTCTCTTTCTACCCTATTCTCTAGCTCTATTTTCAGTCTCCTATTCTGTAGCTAAACCATACATTCTCTCCTCCTGCTTACACATTTGAACCACTCTCTGCACACTCTCATTGCTTTCTACCAAGAAATCTTCCCTCACAACTAGAATGTCAAATCCCCTGCCAAGAGAACGTTTTTATAATACCCCAGCAACAAATACCACAGAGATCAAATGTCTAACAGTTTAACTTACCAAAGAAAGACAAAATGATGAAATTAACTGCCAAAATTAGGACAACTTTGAATATGGTATTTTGATTAAGAAATTGGTTTTAGGTTTGTTTTTAAAAAAAGGAAAATAAACTATTTAAAGTTAAATTTTAGACTACCCTAAGGGCTGAAATGTTCTCTGAGGTTATCTAGTCCATCTTCTCAGTGAAGAAAAATGTTATCAAATACTTAAGTGAAAAGTACATGTTGAACAATTAGAAACTATTGATATTAGTAATTTTATATCTTAGGTTATATTTACCCAAATCTTATCATTTGACAAAACCAAGGAGGAAAAATGGGATTAAGAAGAAATCAGGCCAGGCACGGTGGCTCACACCTATAATCCCAGCACTTTGGGAGGCTGAGGAGGGCGGATCACTTGAGGTCAGGAATTCGAGACCAGCCTGGCCAACATGGTGAAACCCCGTCTCTACTAAAAATACAAAAATTAGCCAGGCGCAGTGGCACATGCCTGCAATCCCAGTTACTCAGGAGACGGAAGCAGGAGACTCACATGAACCTGGGAGGCAGAGGCAGCAGTGAGCCAAGATTGCGCCACTCCACTCCAGCCTGGGCGACAGAACAAGACTGTCTTGAAAATAAATTTTGAAAATCTTTTTAAAAAGAAGAAATTAGACTATCTCACCTAACATTTTAACTATCCTGACAAATCAAATCAGGCAAAAGTCAAAGGAATATGCAGACAAAACATTGTCAATGGATGTGGTATCACGATAATTATATATTGTTTTTCATCCACATTTCCTGGCTCCCAACTTTCATAGTCCTTGTTATAATGCTGGAGCACTTTAGGCCTCAGGAAACCTCTCTGACCTCCTGTCCTTCCTTTACCTGCCCAAGCAGGACTCTAATCTGATTGTGAATCAAAACACTCATTACAGAGAGTCCTCCCCCATACCCTAAAGGAAGGAATGCTACACAGAGGGGCCAAGAAAAGTCTGAACAGACAGGCCTTTCTGGGTTTAGATCATGTGCTTTGTCCAATCACATTTCTACACTGTTGGTTGTCAATCATGCCTATATAATGAAGCCTTCCTCAAAACCCAAAAAGGGTTCAGAGAGCATCCTTCTGGATAGCTGAACATGTAGAGGTTCTTGGAGGGTGGCCCACCCAGGGAAGGCATGTAAGTCCCTATACGTCGCCCTATGCATCTCTTCATCTGCATCCTTTCTATTATCCTTTATAATAAACTGGTAAACATAAGTAAGTGTTTCCTTGAGTTCTGTAAGCTGCTTCAGCGAATTAATCACATCCAAAGAGGGGATCGTGGGAACTCCAGCTTGAAGTCAGTGGGTCAGAAGTTACAGAGGCCCGGACTTCCAACAAGTGTTGGAGGGGCATGAGGGGCAGTCTTGGGGAATGAGCCCTCAACCTGTGAGATCTGACATTATCTCCAGAGAGATAATGTCAGAATTGAATTAGAAGACACTCATTTGCTGTCCACTGCTTATTGATGGGGAAAAAAACCCATATATTTGGTCACAGAAGTCATCTGTGCTGGTTGTTGTTGTATGAGAGCAGAGGAAAAACATAGTTTGAGAGTTTTTCCTTAAACAATGCATTAATTTTTATGCTTTATCTGACTGAAGAGGATAAAATGAACAAATGTCTTATCACACAGGAGGTACAAGTAGCTATGCCTAAGAGCAGGAAATAAGTAGCTCATTGTGCCATCAGAGGGACAAAAAAGAAGGAATCGAGCATCTGCCAGGAATCTAGGAAGTCAGGTAATTCAAAGGTGTTACATTCTCACTTGTAAAGACAGCTACAAAGGTGGCCTAACTGTCCAGTTGGCATTCAACAGCACACTTTTTCAGCTAGTATGGTGGTTGAGACGCATTACTTCCCATCCTACCAATTGCCCTGGTTCCACTGTTTGCTGGCTGTGGATACTTAGACAAGTTTCTTTACCATTTGTAAATTGTAAAAAACATTTAACATGATGCTTAGGACATAGCACTCTAAATACTATTCTTTGTATCTTTACTCTCTGGTTCGAAAAATCCATTTTGGTGTCAACTCATAGGTATAAGAAAATAGATTAGAGAAATCTTATGAAGATGTTAATATGAATCTTATGAATCTTATGAAGATCTTAATAGACAGAAAGAGACAAATTAAGGAAGGGTGCTATTTTTACTTTATCTGATTATTTCAGCACAAGTGGGAGTTGGAAATTGAATTATCTAGATATACATCCTTTCCCTCATTTTATATCTGCTGTGAGCCAAGTTATATTTTCTACTATAATTTCCAAACTCTTCCATAAGCAGAGTTCCTTTATGGTAATTTCCATACCAAGCAGCATTTATTCTCATTCAAAAACCCACAAGAATGTGGCTCCCTTTTAAAACAAGCAAAGGTCGCCAGAGGGTACTCCTATTCTGTAAGGGCAGAGGGGGGCCCCAGGACAATCTCTAAACAATCATTTCCAAAAGAACAGTAATCCTCTGAGAATTGCAGCACTTTGTATTCTCTGGTCTCCCTTGCCTAGCTTCCCCAGTGTGGTGACTTCCTTAGTTGCCATGAATGAAGGTCATGATCTCATAAAGCAAGCATCTCAAGCATGTTTATTGCATTCTTATGCAAAAAAACTAATATGCACAAGTCAATCACAGTAATGTAGGAGGTCTTGTTACTTCAAATGTCGCCATCAATAACTGCTTCTCTAATGTCTCTTTCACTTTCCTTAGGTATTCCAGTTATTGGCTATGTTTCCCTCCAACCCAATCTCCATGCTTTTAACACCCATACTGATACCAGTTCTAATACATTAGCCTTTCTCAGTCTTGACCAATGACCTGGTTGCCACACAGCTTTACTGCAGACTTTCAGCATCTGTAACATTCCTACCTACAGTTTCACCAACTCTCTTCAAGTGCACTGCCCACACAACCTCTGGCTTTTTATTTCTCACATCCCTCATTCCCAGCAAACCTGCCCATTATGACACTTTGCCTATTCTTTCAGCAGGTTAGGTTAGTCCTAGTTCTGCTTGCCTCCACCTCCTGCTTAAACTACTTGGTTAACTATTTCAGCTAAAGCGAGCAATAATACTCCAAAATATATTTCATCCCTGCTCTTGTCAATTCTCAGATTTGGGTTATTCCTACCACCTTCAGGGCAAAAAGACAAAGAGATATATATCTCCCTACTTTGATTAGAGCACATTACAAAAACCAATATGCATACTGCTAAGTCATTGTAAAGGCTGGGTCAGGTCAAGAACTTGGTGGCAGAAAAAGATTAAATTGCTAATGGTTCCAGTGAACTAGAGTTTTATAAAATTAGTGTTGAAAAAAATGATTCATGACATTATTAAAGAACAGGAAGGCAAACTTTATTCAGGACCATCATAACAGGCGTTGGGACCATTGCAATGGGGTTTTTGCAGTGAGTAAGAAAAATTAGGCTCAACTTCAAATACTACAAGAAAAAGTAGGAATTTGTAGCCAAATAGCAGGATGTAAGACAGTGGAAGAAAAATTACTAGTCAGGATTCTTGCTGAATGAAGGTTAGGGTGATGAGATATCATCTGGGAAATGGTGGAAGGTGAGGACCCTCATTAGATATAGAGTGGTCAAATATTGAGGATGGCCAAAGACACTTAGCAGGATTCTTGCTAAATTTGGCAATGCAGATCAGAACACAGAAGCCCAAAAGTCAAGGCCTGGTTGAGAAGAGGACGCACAAGAGCCTGACCAGGATTTGGTCAAGGAGAAAATCTTTGTCACTAGCTCTTACTTAAAAGTTTACTGTATGTCTGTATTTTTTTATACCTCTGTGAGTGGAACTATAGTTTACCATTTTTTAAAATTTTACTTTTATCAGCTTTATCTTCTATATTTAAATAGTTACTAATTAGTCTTAACATCACACTGTAAGTTTTAAATTACTCAGACCAGGCACTGAAATTGCTTCAATATTTCTTTATGTATATTTAATGTTTTCAATACACTAAAGATACCACACAGCCAATAAATAGTGGTATAATTTTGTGAACTGATTAGATTATGAATTTATATTTCAAAAAATTTTAAATTTAGTTCTCTATTGTCTGAGCTTGTTAGATTATTCCTAGTTTTGCTAGCCTCTACCTCCTGCATAATTTATTCATTTTAAAATAAATCTAGTTAATAAGATGATTGACTTATCTACTGTATTAAAAACTTAATGCATGGTGATTTGAATAATAAGTTTTTATAGACTAATAGCACTAACCATATCTAAAATTTACAAAACCCAAGTAGTCTGTAAAGTTTCTTCAATAATCTAAATTACTACTTCTAAAACTTTTATTTACAAAATTAAGATATCATTTAATAATGGCTATAATTAGGATACTATTTTAAGTAGCCAAATATTTTATTCAAGTTGGTTTGAAAAAGAAAGAAATTCATTATCTCACACAGCAGTAAATCCAGAAATATAGTAGGGAGTCAAGAACCCAATGATTCCATCAAGTACCCAAGGTTTTATATTTTTTCTGCCATTTTAAGGCATTTGTTTTGCCCTCAAGCTGAATCTCCTCGTGACAAAAGATGATCCCTGTAGCAATTTGAAGAAGCATGTATTCCAGATAGGACAAATATCAAAAGCCAACATGTGCTTTCTCATCCAATGTTCCCTTGCTAAGTGGAACTAAATCTTTTCTACCCATTCCCCTTAGTCCTCTCATTTCACCTGACATGTGACATATGACTAAAACTGGGACAAGGAACAATCACTGCCAAGGGGCATAGAAACACCAAGATTTTTAGCTGAACCTAATCTAAAATTCCCTTGAATTAGGAGTAGGATTGACTTCCCCTGAGTTATGTGGGAAAGAGTGGACATTTGAATAATACCAGGGAAAAGAAGAATAAGGAATAGATTTTAGTGGACTATCAATAATTTATGCCACAGTACAAGGAAGGTGATATAGCTCTCAAAAGTGAAAACATGCTTCTTACAAATGGAAATGCAAGAAACGGAAAGAAGAGTTAACTTCAGGTACAAAATCACACCTGGTTTAACCCAATGTCATTGTCATTAAAAGGGAACTTGGAGCCAAGTACAGTGCTCACACCTGTAATACCAGCACATTGGCAGGTCAAAGCCAGAGAATTGTTTAAGCCCAGGAGTTCTAGACAAGCCTGGGCAACACAGTGAGAACCTGTCTCTAGAAGGAATTGTAAAAATTTAAAAATTAGCCATGCATGGTGGCATGCACCTATAGTTTCAGCTACTTGGGAGGCTGAAGTGGGAGGATTACTTGAGTCCAGGAGTTTGAGGCTGCAGTGAGCTATGATTGCACCAGTGCACTCCGGGTTGGGTGACAGAGTGAGACCCTGTCTCTAAAATAAATAAATAAATAAACAGGAACCTGGACATTCAACAGGAGAAGGAAGCAAATAAGTGTCAGTGGTGCTTGATGCTTACCATTACAGAAAACACAAAGTGAAGCCAAAAGCCAGAAAGAGACTGAAAGACAGTTATTTCTTATTGTGATCTTGACAGTATTGTCAATTTTCAAGTACAAAACTATTACCTTAGACCCATCCCTGGAACTTCAAGGTGGTCCAGACCTACTAAACTGATTTATAAATGTGAAGCTCTATATATTAACTATTTCAAATTAACAAGTTTAAAGAGACTGCTCTTGTCACATACTTCAAAAATAAAGTTGAATCATTAGTTTCAAATAAATCAAACATCAATAATAAACTAATTTTAAAATAGATGTATCTCACAGAATGGTCAAGCCAAGCAAAAAGAAGGGAATATAGCGAACTAAATTATGTTATATATGTTTTAATTATAGGTCCCCTTCATAAGATAGTAATTTGTTGTACTTGTACATATTCTAAATTCGTTTTCCAAACTTCTTAGCACACATTTAAATTTTTTATCAACAATGATCAGTAAGTAATCCACACCATATAACCAAATATATAATCTTAAATAAGTCAATGATGCATAGAAAAATTATCAAGTTTCCATATGTTCAGAAAAAAATTATTTTTTCAATATTATTCATAAAAATTGTTAATACTGGCACAGTTACTTACTACCAAGTAGATAACTATTTAACACATCTGTTCTTTATATATGAAAAATAAACAAATATAAGACAAGATGCAGAGCCAAATCATAACTCCTCCCAATATAGTTAATGCTGTGATTAAAAATTTTTTTAATTTGCATGTTCTGAAATTAAATATAAATATGAAATCGAGAGCACAACCTACTCCTTGTGATTCCAATTACATGCTGATCAGGTCTGGAGAAATGGAAAAAAAGAAAGAAAAACAAGATGGTTGTTTTGCAAGATAATCCAGCTAAAATTATTCAGCTAAAACTATTAATCCAGCTAAAACTCCTTTATGTAATTACTAATGGTTAGTTCATGAACATGGAAACATAAAGGAGGAACATCTCTATAACTGTAAAATCCACAAGTTGTTCTCCTAAACCACATTCATGGCTTCATGCCTTCTTGCCTATCCCACCTGCTCTGACTGACACTGTCCCTTTTCAATGCCTGCCCAACTCATCCTCATCCTCTGTGACTTGGTCTAAGAATCACCTGCACACATTCTTTCCATACACTGCTTCCCTTCACACTGGTGAATACCCGCTTTCCCCACTCCTCCTTCCTCAACATCCTCTGCACTGTACCTCAGAATTATATAGAAATACCAACTTCTATTTAAGTTAATAAGAGGAGGTCTCTGTCACCTACTAATCACACAACTACAAAAAGAACAAGTGTTATTTGATAAGTATTTATTAAATTCAACTGTATCATATCAGAATCTCTTTATTTGCAGATGCACAGTTTAAACACAGTTATATTTCCCAGAATGAGAAGGGGGGAAAGACTTCAAATGTATATTAAGTGAATGGAAAATCACTGAATAAAGACAAAATCTCATTGAATAAGAAAGTCCCAAAGAAAGATTCATTACATTGTAGGATACAGTAAATTCCTCTTCAAAGAACCAATATGTTAGTATATTGAGCTTCCCTGTTCTTTGTTTTCCATTTGAAAGTTTAACTTCCTCGTTCTTTACATCTCCTTGTCCCTAGCTTTAGTAAACAACCCCCTCCTAGCCTCTATCACCTGCTCTGTCCTTAGTCATCCTTAGTCACCTGCTCCCTCCTTAGTCACCTGCTCTGTCCTTAGTCATCCTTAGTCACCTGCTCCCTCCTTAGTCACCTGCTCTGTCCTTAGTCATCCTTGGTCACCTGCTCTGTAACCGTCCTTCCCACCAAAGCTTCTCACCCCGCCACTCCAGCTCATACCCCTGCTGTCTTTAAAATAGCCAGTTGGAATTATCTTAGACTGTGCGGTCCAACCCTACCCAATAGGGGAAAAACAAGCAGTAGGGACTAGCTGCATTAATAGTAAGATCCCCTTCTCCTCCCTTGTCTGGTGTGCTCTTGCCATTGCTCCATCCGTGAGAGGCACCCTTTTATAGAAGTAAATTGCCTTGCTGAGCAAACTTTTGCCTGAGTGCTATATTCACTTGGCAGCACCGAGCATTTACTTCCAACAACATCAAGTCTAAAATGTTGTTCTCTAAAACCTCATCTGTACTACTCTAGAAAATTTTATTTTTCCAAATTGATCATGAATTTCCTAGTCTGCTTAATGTAATCAGCTAAACCTATGATAACTCAGATTTTACAAATTTAGTAGTTCTTCCTTTAAAATGACTAAAGACATTAGCAATATGAGACCTCTTACTGATTTACTGCTAAGAAGCTTAAAGGTTTTTCTCCTACATATCCAGTCATGGTGATGCATTAAAACAGAAAAAATAATTCATAAAAATTTAAAGCAATAGCCATTGTTACTCTAAAACAATGCTATTTTATAAATCTAAAATACCAATAGACTTTTGCCATTTCATATTGCATTTACGTAATTTCAAATAAAATTTGTTTACTCAAATGTGACTCCTTAAAAATTCTCTCAAACTATATTCTGAGATACTACAATCCATAAACACCCTCTAATTATATTTAATTAACATATTCAGCATAGAGATAAATTGCTTTGAAATTAATTCAGTTATGCAATTGTTCTTTCTAATCAGCCAAACTTTCTCTGTATTTATTTGCACTACTAGTAAAGTTCAGTGTTTATGTTATTGGACATCTTTATGACTATAATAACACACATCATCAAGGAAGTAAAAGGAGAGTTTGATCATCAACCAAAGTCCTTTATTACTACACAGTTCCTCAAAGCAGACAAAAATAAAATAAATTACAGAGCATAACATGTAGTTTGACCTTCAAAGATACTTTACAAAATACTGTTTCTTAAAACTCTCATTAGTACTTATAACCCTATGTTTTAATTCACCTAGGTTGAAATCTGGGTAAATGAACCTATTTGCTATTAAAATTTTACTTAAAACATGGTATCTCTTGATGGTTATAAATGGCTATGAAAAAAATTGAGAAGCTAAAATCACATTTATTCTCTTATTTCAATTTTTTATCCCAAATTTGCACGTTTGCTACCATACTACAAATGTTCTGTTTGATTTTTTTTGGCTAAAATTATATTTAAAATTGATATTATCTAATTTAAATACAAACCAAATGAGAACAATAGTTATCACCTCATGAAATATTATACAGCTATAAACAGGCAAATCATTAATGATTCAGTCAGTAGATTATGTATGCTCTGAAATGATTGTCTTTATTTCTATAAGAGGGTAGACTGAAGACTGAGCCCACAGTATTCAGTCTCCTCTCTTATAGAAATAAGGATAGCCATCCATGGTTCCCCCAGGAACTTCAAGGATCTTAAACTTTGCCTTTGTAGCTCTGGCAAAGTTTAAGATCCTTGATGTTCCTGGAGGACTGGTGGATGAAGTTTCAAGAAATGGATCAACTGTAACACCTAATATTAAGAAAAAGCTGTACCATACCAGGAAAACACTACATTTGTATAAAATTCTCACTTCACAATACCTGATAAACTTATCAGTAGTATCTAACTTCTAAGTAGTGAATTTACCTTCTTACAGTAGTTAACTGTACATGTGCTTGTGTTCTACTTAAGAAGAGTAGAAAGGGCTTCCATGAGTATGCCATCATTAGAGCCTACAACAAAGAATGTAGGTAGAAGATCTTGCCAACTATTTTTCTCTTCTTTCGGAGGTATAAATAGAAGTCTAAAAACACTTTTAGAATTTGGAAAAAAGAAAAAAAAAAGGATTTCTAGGATTTCTAGCAATACTTATCTGGGAAACATTTTTAATTAGTTGTTAAAATTGGGCTCAAAAATATCAATTAACTGAAGCTATTTTTCCCTACAGAAAAACTATAGCACAAATAGAGAAACATCAAAGAATATATATGTATCATAAGTATGCACACACAGAAAGGGAGAAAGAAATGGAGACAGAGAGAGAGACAGACAAAGAGAGAGAGAACGACAGAGACAGAGAGACAGAGAGAAAGTAGTCCCCCAAAATATGGAAGTTTCTAAGGTCTATTCTGAACTTCTTCATCAGGAGGTATATGATACAGCTGATGTATAGGTACATTTATATAATGTTAATAGCAAAAAACAAACATGAAATAAAGGCAGGTATTGATATCTAGATGCACTCTCTTAGTTGCATCCTAGAAAATACATACAAGGCTATTCAAAACTTCCTTTAAAAAGCCATATTAATCTTTGCAATTTAGCACAAAATATACTGAAAATCTTAATTTCTATATAAGTTAACTTACTTATTCATATTATGTGTGCAAATTAGGGCAGCCTTTTCAAAACTATTTTTAAGTATACTACACTGAAAGACAAAACTAATTTCAAATTCGCCATAACTATACCATTTCAATGTAAACAGAAAATTGACACTTACTATCCCACACAATATTTGAGTCAATTAACTGTCCTCTGATGACAATCATGCATGGTAAGCATCATTAGAGTGGCTGAAAACATTTCTTAGGCATAAAACAAACAAAAAACTCGCAAATAACAAGGGCCTGAAAACAGTATAAGCATTGTTTTCTAAGTCTTACTCTGGAACAATGACTTTTAGCCATTCTCTTTAAAAATAAAGGCCTGATTTCAATTTCATATCCCCAGTATTTGAAAGTGAAGCGATTTCTCCATTCAAAGTTATACCATTTTTTCCTCTTCCAATCTGAGTATATTTTATGCTCTTATGGGAAAAAGCTTAAGTTTCCTGATCTCTAAATGCATTAAGGCAAACAATATTAGATCCACCAGCCTCTAATACGTTTAGGGACCAGGGCTCATGGCAGTTATGCAGTTAGCTTCTGTAACTATCTTTGAATTCATTATTATACTGAAATAAAATAACTTTTTTTATTCTTTAGAGGTTTTAGAAAACAAATTGCAATATCGCGAATTGAATCACAAATACATCACTCTGCTAAGTAAAATTTAAATTAAAATCACCTACCATTCATCAATGGAAATAAGAATTTTAAGGATTTCTAATTTAAAATGAAAGGTAAAATTTGACATTTTATATTAAAATTACCCTAATATATCCTCAAACAGCCACTTGTTCAAGGATACCCATAGTGTAAGTTTCAACCCAACTACTATATCCCATATACACGTGCTTTTTACAGATTCACTATTAATTATAATATAAAGTCTAAAAATAAAAGCTATGACTAGGTATTTTAGCAAAAGACTTTATCCTTTAAACAATTTATCTATACTTATTCTGTTTTCTCTAATAAGTTGATCTGTTCACCCGAAAAAGAGTTAAGTTAAACATCCATGACTGTAGCACAGTACAATGAACCATAAAAATATGTAGTATATTTTACTAATTGACATGTCACACTAAAAAGTAAATATTTCACAATGATCATAATGAATCAACAATGAACAGGCTCATAAATTATAGACAGAAACATAGGCAATAAATGATATGTTGGAAAAATGTTTAAGAAGTAAAATAACATGCACAGAAATCACAGAGCTGAGAAGTTCGGTGCTGATTGGAATACAGGCCCGATGATGCATGATATGCATGCAACAAACATTGGCTGGATTTATTAATGAATGGCTCCAAAATCTATCCTCCAAATTCTTAAGGAAATTGTTGTGGCCATTAAGAAAAGAAAGTCTGTTTGTATGTCATAAATATATTTCAGCTTCTCAAGCATTATTTCTGAGAAGAGAGCCAAGTTCTGTGAATATACTTGGTAACTTCTCATAAAGGTAAAATTAAGCTGGACTTTAAAAATAACTGGTCTTGTGTATAAATATAAACTGAAATAAAAATAAATGAATGTGCTAATTGTTCTTTTCTGTTTGAGAAAATGACTCAGCCTTAACCATAACAAAATCTCCCTTATATCCTCAAAAATTAAAATGTATGATTAAATTAAAGCTATGATTAAAATGTAAAAGTGGTAATTTTTATAAATTAGATCCAGATATGTCATTATTACATGGGTATTCAACATAGAAGTATTCCTATTTTATCCCCATAAACTCAACTGAGTCAGCTGAGTCAGAAATCCTATGACCTTTATGTCGAAAAGCCTATTAACATTATTTCATCTCTTTAATTCTCACAATAATCTTGTAATTATGTAAAGGAAAGTTTCTTTACTTTGCAAGTGGAAAAACTGAAATCATAGTCAGGGAAAACATTTGGCTGAGGGTGATTCACAAAGTGAGTCTCAGAAAGCAGGCTAATATTCACAATCTCAAACTCTTAAATACAGAGGAAATATAAACCACATTAGTTTGTTTGTTTGTTTGTTTGTTTTAACCATTTAACCCCTAAGCCCACAATAGTAAACCTACAACCCACCTCTCTGAAGAAAAAAAAAAGAGAGATGAAACATACACAACTTTAATACACAAAGAAGAGTCTGAATTGCAGTTAAGGCTTTGAGTTCCTAGCTGGTTTGGAATTAGGAAGCAGTAAAGGGCAAATGTGTGAAATACTGAGATCATCTCACCTTTTACTTCTTTACATGAAAGAGCAAGATCTGTTTATCAGGATCACTTTTGATAAGCACAAAGAAGTCATGCCGGATACGTTTCTACTTTAATTCCATGACCCAAATCCATGCTAGCTGAGAATACGTAATTGAATTATTCAATTTAGGTAGAAAACCATCTGCTCAAACCCTTAAGTCTTCAATTCTTGCTGCTATGAAAACAAAGTAAGGCCGAAGTCAAGGAATTGAAGTTGCAGCAAACCTCGTCCAAGGAGACAAACAGCAACAAAGTGTGGGCATTTGCAAAGTATGATCAGCACAAACAGCATCAGGCCCCCAGCTATTCCACTGCAACACTGATAAGGAAAGTTCAGACTTTGCTCCTGGAGCCCTTTTTGTAATTTCCTCGGTCATATCCAACTGCACTCTATGCTTAGTTTATTTTTTTGCCAAGAAGACTGATCTTAGCCACCTAAAAATTCTCATTGCAAAAGAAACCTCTTGTTTAAACCCCAAGTGCAACCGACAGCCCCTTTCCAATTAGCCCCTGCAACTTGCCCAGTCTCTTTCATGCCTGGCTACTGAGCTCAGTCTAGTTTGGCTGCCGGCCAGGTTCCTCTCTTTTTTTCCTTGTCAGTCGTAAAAACTTGGAAAACACTCCTGGACAGCTCAAGGAGACCTTTAATTATGCAGTGGGGCAGTACCTTAGCCTGTCTGCTGTTTCCAGCAAAGCCTGTAGTCACCAGCGACTGCACTCTCCCAATTTGTGGGTTTTCCAGCCAAGGCTACTTGTTCATATGGGGGGAAAAGGGAAAGACTGGCAGAGAAAGGGAGCAATTTGCAAATTTGAAGAATTTCCAATTCCTCTGAAAGTTTTCCACTTCCTCACATTCACTCTGTCTAATAATCTCCCTTACTTTAGCACCTAATCACCCATTTTGTAATACAGACACAAAATCATCAGTATTGTCTCCTGCTAGTCCTAGAAATCAGTCATGACTTGAACATTCTCCGTAACTTTTTATTCTCAAATGTTGGTGTAACGTATTTTAAAAGCAGGCACAAAATAAATTTATTAAATCCTTCCTAATTGACTGCATTACACTTTGTCAAACTTGCAGATTGAAATAGTGCATGTAAAATGTCTGATTGCAAATGAGTAAGGCGAGCTCAGTTGGGAAACACTACTAGGACCTAGGGAGGGGTACCTTGACTGCCAGCCCTCACTTACTTGGAGTTTGCCCAGCGTACCAAGTGGACCCGCCAAGCCCAACACCAGCTAAGTCTTCCTTACTCTACCTTGGCACGCTAGTTCCAGCTGCAGCGTCCAGCTTCCTGTTCAAGTCCCATTCAACATCGTAAACACATTCCAAGAAAACCAGCCTGCCCAGAGTTCCCTCCCGCACACAGGGAAGTCAGCGCGGCAGCCGCAGGAGCCTCAGAATAGAGAGAACTGCCTGCTCCGGATTCTGATCCGTGTGGCGAGTGAGGCCACGAGAAGGTGGACCCGGCCAAGCGAATTTAGCAGTCGGAGCGAGAACCCAAGGGCTCATCACCCCCGCCGCGCCTTGCGCCCTCCAGAAGAAGCTACTTGACCCGCGCAGCAGAAGGGTAACCATGTGGACGCCGCCCCTTCCTTTGGGCCCTCCCAGCTCTGAGCTTTAAAGTATCCGCGGCCCGGCCTCGGAGCTTCGCGCCTCCCCACCCCCATGCCCACATTCTCTCCCAGCGCCAACAAAAGGGAGGCTGCCCTGGAAGTTCGCTCCTGGGTCGCCTCGCTGTGACCCGACGATGACTTGCCTGCTCAGCCCAGTCTGATCCACGCACCCTCAGCCGGACGGATCCACGGTTTCCCCACCGCCTCCCTCCAGTTCCTGCTCACCGGCCCCCCGCCGCCGGACCAAAGTTACCACAAAAGGCTAAGGAGGTTTCTGGAGCCCGGAGACCGCTGCGTCCCCGACCTCGCTGGACTCCCCCAGTCATTTCTCAAGCGCTGCCATAGCAGGCGTCAACAGGTCTTAGCCTCCTTTAGTGCTGGACGACTCCCTGAGCATTTAGCTGTCCTAATTTTTTACAACCTGCTGGCCAGCGGCTACGCGCAGCCCCGCGCCCTCCTTCCCGGGCACTGGTGGCCGGAGCTGTCCACCCCCACCGCCCCTCGGGATATCAGCTTCTAAGCGATTCCACGCTACCTGGAGGGAGCCTGGGTTCGCAGCCAGGGAAGAGCCTAGATAAATCTCCGTACCTCACTGAGAGAGGCAGTCGGGTCAGGCTTCGGGCAGGGGCGTGGAGAGCTGCCGGTTCCTCCGAGCCTGGCGATCTCCACTCCGGCACGGCCGGGGCGCCGTCTCCGAGGCCGAGAGGGAAAGTTTCTCTACGCCAACACGGCGCTGGACTCGGGACCCTCCAGCTTCGGTCCCCTCCCTCTTCGCGCTCTCTCCCCCCTCCCTCCTCTTCCTAATCCGCCGAATCCAAAACTGGCGCTGGCGGCAGCTGGGACGCGGGGCTGGGGACTCCGGGTCGCTCCCGGCCGGGAACGCCGGGCTCCCCCTCTCGGTGAGAAGGAAACTCTAGCCGACTCCGGCTTGCGCACTTCTGGCGGTCTCCTTGGACATTTCCACACGGGACGCCTGTGTTCAAGCTCGCTGACTTTCCTTCTTTAATCTCTGATGGTCGTTATCTGTGGGCCCACTGGACTATCTCGCGCGTGCACGCGGAACCGGAGGTGGGTGGAGGGTGGAATGAGAGAGAAACCCATCCGCAGAAGGAGGGGCCCTACCTTACTCAGTCTTCAGCCCGGACAGAAGCAAAACCACAGGCCCCCTCTCCCACCCCACTCGCGCCGCGTTTCCTTTCCAGCCTCTTCCCTGAGACACTAGATCAGGACCATTTGCCTTTTCTTATCTCTGTGTGTTTCCTAACACAATTTTAAAACACCTCTGAGGCTTCATAGAGGGGTAAAGTGTCAAAAGAAATACACGAATAAGAGTAAAACGTGCCGTCTTCACAGCCTTTATCAAGAAAGCAGCCACAGTTGCTGCTGCTCTGGCCGCACCTCAGCGGACTGGTTTGTCCTCATTGGTTTGTCCTCATTTGTTTTTTAACTCGGCCTTAATCTCTGGACTTTGTTATGCCTTAAAACAGACACACACATACACACACTTGAAAATTGCCTTAACCCCCAGATCATACTCATTTGTTCCATTCAGATGTTTACCTCGGAATTAAGGACTTCTGTATAGGATTTGAGAGAAAACACAACAGCCCATTCTTACTGACCTTTGGTAAAGTTCTGCGTGGGAAAGGGAGCAAGAAGGAGTATCCTTATATAAGAAGTTCTTCAAGGATGAGAGGACCTTTACTAAAATTTTTTCTGCTGCTCAGAATTTAGTTTACTAAATTTTAGTTTGAGTGTGAAAATAGATGAGAAAAGGAAAAAGGCATTTTGCAAAGCTAGCAGTTATAATGTATTACAGTGGATCCAGGGCTTAGAGTCAGACAGGCCAGATTCCATTCCAAACTCCATCTTTACGCTTTCTGTGCCTACCAATTATAACTGTCAACAGGAATTCTATAATCTAGCTCACGGAGTCACAGTCACATTTACAGGAGTTAAAATAGAGTTGTGATAGGCGCAGAGAAAATACTCAATAAATATTTGGTTCTTATATCCCACCATGTTTTACTGTAATTAGGAGAGAGGGTGGTGCTAGAAATTTTCCCCCAAAGACCCTGTAACTGAATCAGTTTTCTTCTCCTTAATGCTTTTTCCATTTAAAAAGGCATCATTTCACAATTTTTGAAATGGAAACTATGTTTACAGATTAACTAGTTCCAGCTGAACTCCCTTATTTTAAATACAAGGTAACTGAAGTCTAGGGCTCTTAAGTGACTTTCCCCAAATCTCATGGTTTGGAGGTACTAAAGCTAATATCAGAAATCAGTCCTCATAATAACTTGGCTGGGGTCCTCTTTTAACTGTTTTTCTCTTTATCACAATAGTCAAGCACACATAAAAATAATTATATTAAAAATATTAATCTCAGGACAAATGCTAGTTTTTTTCTGTAAATAACTCTTAAGCAATTAATTTATGAACAATCATTAAAAATTAAATAATGTCATTTAGATGATCACTTGGTATCAATGTGATTATAAAAATAAAACAAATGGTAGTCCAGTATTTAGGAATAAGGAGGTTGATGAGATGAACGAATCCATGCTTACATTATATATTTACACATAGATATTTTGGGTTTTTTAGCCATAATATTAAAAGATTATAATAACTCTCGATTCCCAAGAATACATCAACATACCACTACAGTTGGCTGACCCTAGTTTGTGAACAACTAGATCAGTGTTCAGGACACACAATTCAACTTGAACAAGTTCAAGGCCAAAGAACAAAATCAGGCTACAGAGATCAAACTTTCCATCCTGTGAAATAATGGAAAATCCCATAGCATGTACTTATTTCTCATTCATTTGCCTCTAGTACCTGTAAGAAGGTCTTTTTAAAAAATTCTTCCTTACCATATACAATGTTGAAAATCATCTGAACATTTACATAACTAACTCCCATGTTCTCAGGGATGAGACCCTATATACTCCTTCTAAGTAAGAGTTATTTACTACTCCGGCCTCATCCTCAGTTTCCTAAAGGCATATCATAGCCTCTTTAGAGATCTGTCTTTCCTATCCATAAGACTTGGAAGATCCTAAAGAGGGAAAAAAAAATATGGCTACAAAGCACATCCATCATGAATGGATAAATGAAGATAGATGAGTCCTCATAACTGTCTTTTTCCAATCGTTACATACAGTGCTAAAGATTACTCACTTTTATATTTTCTCCCACTGTTTAAAGTCTTTAAACTTGCTATTGCTTTGTAATTTTTATAACCTGACTTTTGATATGATCTTCTTTGTGAAATGGCTTAGAGGTATAAAAATCTCAAGAGTGTCAGAACCAAGTTTTTAAAAACAATAGAACCAAATGGAACAAGATTTTAAAACAAATTTATAGCATGCCCCAGGAAGTGAAGAAGGGAGATGCCAAAGAAAAGGGTTGCAGAAGCCTAGCAGGGCACTACGATGACAAATACGCCTAATTTTACCTACTGCAAATACCTCAGATTTCCATTTGAAAGTTCTTCACATTCATCATAGGTTCATATAGACCCTGATAGAAACTCAGCAGCTTTCCAGTAATTTTTATTTTTATTTATTTATTTATTTTTTTTTTTTGAGGCGGAGTCTTGCTTTGTCGCCCAGGCTGGAGTGCAGTGGTGCGATCTTGGCTCACTGCAAGCTCCGCCTCCGTGTTCACACCGTTCTCCTTCCTCAGCCGCCCGAGTAGCTGGGACTACAGGCGGCCGCCACCATGCCCGGCTATTTTTTTTTTTTTTTTTTTTTTTTTTTGTATTTTTAGTAGAGACAAGATTTCACTCTGCTAGCCAGGATGGTCTCAATCTCCTGACCTCGTGATCCACCCGCCTCGGCCTGCCAAAGTGCTGGGATTACAGGTGTGAGCCACCACGCCTGGCCTCCAGTATTTTTAAATTAATTTTCTTGCTCAAACCAGAATTAAGTTTCTCTTACCCTAACTAAGGGAACTTTGGCTAAGACAAAAAAACGACCTGTTACTTACCTTAAGAAAACCAATTTTATTTCTGATTATTGCAAAAGCACACAAAAAATATGCTGGTTGTTTAGCCCTATATTTCTGCAAAACCAACATTTAAAGTATTTGACAACTTTTTAAAAACTGTAATGAAAACCAAGACTGAAATTCAAATTTCAGTCATGTGATTTGAAAGGGGGTCATGTTTCTGTTTGTCATGTGTAACAGTGGCCAAATATCCTATGAGTTCCTAGGGGCTCTGGGTTCCAAAGTTACTGTGTTACATTTACCTTCAAACCTCTATCATTTTATCTGTCATTCTGAAAGAATCGCTTTATTTTGATCTTCTTGATTAAGAACATGAAACATGACCATTGCAAAAAAAGAAAAAAAAATAGGAGGGCAACTGCAAAAGGGAAATAAATATCACCTGTATTCCCATCACCAAAAGTACCTATTGCTCACATTTTCTCTATATGCTCCAAGGTTTGTTGAGGCCTCTGAGAGACCCGGATAAATAGTATCCCTTCTTTATGCCTGGGTGGGGAATAAATTGACCAAAAAAATGAGAGCAAAATATTACTCTATGATTGACAGATAACGGATTTGAATTGGTAGATCCAAAAGCAAAGAACTGAAACAGCAGCCTCAGTCAACGTAGTTCCTGGCCTCCTTCTAACCTGAAAGGAGACAGTGCCTTTGAAAAAGGATTTAAATTGTTTTTTGAGTTCTATTCCAAAGAATGAAAGAGAGAGAAAGGTAGTTGAGCCTGGCATGCCCAGCAATTCTTCCCAAGTTTATTCCTAAGTTTATCTACCAAATGTCATAACATCTCTCCAAGGGCAAGTAAGTAAAGACCCAGTAAAATATTTTTGCATGGAAACCAGGAGTAGAGGAAAGGCATTACCCAGCACCCACAGACACTTAACAATTTTCTTTCCATTTTTTTCATGTGGAAGTATAACGTACATACTACTCCTTTTTTTTTTTTTTTTTTTTTTTTTTTTGAGACGGAGTCTCCCTCTGTCGCCCAGGCTGGAGTGCAGTGGCGCGATCTCGGCTCACGGCAAGCTCCGCCTCCCGGGTTCACGCCATTTTCCTGCCTCAGCCTCCTGAGTAGCTGGAACTACAGGCGCCGCGCCACCACTCCCGGCTAATTTTTTTATTTTATTTTATTTTTTATTTTTAGTAGAGACGGGGTTTCACCGTAGCCAGAATGGTCTTGATCTCCTGACCTCGTCATCCGCCCGCCTCGGCCTCCCAAAGTGCTGGGCTTACAGGCGTGAGACACTGCGCCCGGCCCATACTACTACTTTTTTGTAAGTATTCTTTCAAAATATTTATTTTCATATGCATTTTTCGTTTACCTAAATGACATCATGTAAACTATTCCATCTTGGCCCTTAATTTTTTTTCTCCAAACACTTAAATTTTCAAATAATCTTAGTGAAAAATTAGCAGCTCAATCGCTTTAATTTTTATTACTTTCACTGTTAATAAAACTGAATAAGTTTTCATAAAGTTAATAACCGTTTATATTTTCTTTTGTGAGGTGGCTATTTATATATTCTGTACATTTTTCTCTTTTCTCTATTGTTTCATATATTTTTTCTTTTTCTTATTGATTTTTAAAGGTTCTGTATGAGGTAAATATATTAACCTCTAGCCAAAAAACGGGTATTTGTCTTATTAACTTAATTAAAATAATTAAATTATTTTGTTCTATTTTAAAACTATGTAGAATTTCTTTAAATGTAATCGGTTTATGATTTCTTGAGTTTTTAAAAAATATAATGACATTTCACCCAAACTAATTAGCAATATTTTCTTCTAGTATTTTGTAGTTTTCGTTTTTCAATTTATTCTGATGTGAAATCTAAAGATAGGGCTTTTGTTTCCCCCAGAATAATGACCTAGGTGTCCAACACCACATATTGAATAGATCCATTCTTTGTCCAGTGATTTTAGCAGTAATTTTTATCATATGTTAACTTAGATATAAAACAGGGTCTGTTCAATCAGAACTTCCAGGTGTGGTCAAACAGCATGCAAAATGCAGTAAGACACCTAAAAAAGGTCCAGTGCAGAATAAAATCCAGCCAAGCTCTTTTGCCAGCCAAGCCAATGGAGCTTGCGAGCAAGAAGAAAGGGATATCTTTTCTAACTACAAAGGCATCTTCGGCTCCTAGCCAAGCACCTGCAGAGCTTCCTTGGAAAGAATTGGGCATCATGTGGGCTAGCGGTAGTCCTTTCCCATTTAATAGTCAGTGTATTTCTGCAATAGAACATTATTAATTATCTCAAACTATCATTGTTTAAAATATCTACTGGGGCAAATTCTCCTTTATTATTTTCTCCCCCTTTCAAAGGTTTCATCACTATTCTCTCAAAGTTATTTTTCCAAATGAACTTTGGATCCATTCTGTTAAGTTTCCTTGTCACAACTTCCTATTTCCTACCTTTGCCCACAAAAGTCTTCTGTTAGAAGTGTGTTCAACTCATGTATCAATTTACTTGAATTCACTTCATTATTCAATTTTTTCTTCTGATCCTGAAAAAGGATGCTTTTTCAACTTGAAAAGACCTGACTCTGCACCCATTCAAATTATATTTTTACTCTCCAATCTATTAAATTACCACTTGTTAAGTTCCATGTTGTTGCTAAGAGTGAAAGGGCCATTTTTCTACAACAATTGCAGGACATAAATAATACTTGGAATAGAAGAGCCCTACTTAACACGAGTAATGAGAGAAAGCACAGATCTTAATCAAGGGTCACATTTCTGCTTCTTGTTCCAGTTCATGTGCACTCTAGATGATAGTGAATGAATACCTTATATGGAGTCCAGCCATGACCAAAAGACAGGAGCTAACACTCAGCTTCATGGAAAGGCCCAATCTAATGTCCAGGAATAGACTCCTGAGGTATGGTCTTCTGCCACAGAGCTTTCAGGCCTAGAAAATTTGCTTGAAGCAGTTTTACTTGCTTGAAAAACTGCTGCGATAAGAAGATATTTTTTTCATTTGAAGTCTCACATACTTAAAATACAAAAATAGAACAAAGACATTGCATTGCAAATAGAATTACAGTCTTATTTTCTTAATAGAGTAAAAAATAAATTGTCTAAAATGATTTTTGACAAAGGAAACTTTTTATTTGAAAATTATGATTTGCAGTCTTTCACTAGAATGCTAATTTATTAACTCTCTTCAAAATCCTGTATCAGAATTTACTCAGGCTTGCTGATAGGGCTTAACAAAAAAGCAAAGCTAAGCAAGGCACCTATACGCTTGGGCCTGACATAATGTGATTTGAGAAAATGTCATCATGCTTTAAAATGCAAAGCGCCTATCACAACCGAACAACAAAAGACGTTCTCTCATTGAGTATCTTTTCCATAACAGGGCTAAAATAATTCTGAGAGTGGCTTTTCTGTAAAAGGCAGTCTGTGGCAAGAATTGTTGGAACAGAGACTTGCCATGCTGGTTCTGCATCAACAGTCTCTCTAGCTCAGCAATCTGAGAATACACACGGATAAAGTGCTATCAGTTCAATGGAAATTGGCAGGTTTTCAGAGGGTGTGACTGCAGAAGACTATTGTTCAATTTCAAAAATGAAACCCTCCAGAAGCAATTTCAAAGTTATACAAATCTTTCACGTATACTGAGAGTGCAGGTGAAGATCATCCATTTTCCACATAAAAATAAATTGTTAAGGACTTTTAAATGAACACCCCTACCTAAAATGCAGTGTTCTGTTTGGAAATCTGTACATTATACAAGTGAAGAGCATAATAAATCTTGAAAAAAATTAAATTTTTTTCATTGAAATATTTTTGTAGAGTGCCATGAGTTTGGGGGAGAACTAGTGAAATGTACATCAACAATTTTATAGATTTATAAGACAGTTCTTAAAGTGTCAAGAAAGCTGTCATGGCTTAAATTTTATTTACCGAATTAAGCTTCAGATATTTCTTATAAAAGTGAACTTCAGGCTGTTGAGTTTTGAAGGGTGAAGCATAGGATAAAGCTTTAAAGCATGTGCTTTGGAGTCCAAAGTCACGGTTAAAATGTATTCTCTACTACTTACTGACTGTGAAATCTTGGACAAGTCACTTTCTTCTCTGTATTAGTTCATTCTCACATTGCTATAAAGAACTACCTGACACTGGGTAATTTATGAAGAAAAGAGGTTTAATTGACTCAGAGTTCCACAGACTGTACAGGAGGCATGGCTGGGAGACCTCGGGAAACTTACAATCATGGTGGAGGGAGAAGGGGAAGCGAGCATGTCTTCCCATGGCAGAGCAATATACAGAGAGCAAAAGGGGAAGTGTTATTCACTTTTAAACAACCAGATTTCATGATAACTCACTCACTATCACATGAATAGCAAGGGGAAAATCTGCCCCCATGATCCAATCACCTCCCACTGGGTCCCTTCCCCAACATTGGGAATTACAATTCAACATGAGATTTGGGTGGGAACACAGAGCCAAACCGTATCACTCTACTTTAATATTAGTTTTCTTATTTTTGAAACAGTTGTCAAGATTAATTGAGTTAATAAATGTAAAGCACTTAGCATAATCTGGCAAGTAAGTATAAAATAAATAATGGCTTTTCATGGAAACAGGTAAAACTATCAAAACTTTTGATATGTTAGTGAAAGTTTTTCATGAAACTGAATCAATATGGGTCAAAATAAAAGGAAAACAATAGCTTTGGCTGAAATTAATCTATAGATGTACATTTTTCTTGGAAAAAATAAAAATATTTTTGGTGTTATTTTTGTCTAGAAAGAATAATGATTATTTCTATGATTATTTTTATTTTTTAACCAATCTACAGAATTCATTCAGATATCCCCAGATTTTCTTTTTATTTTTCAACCTTTATTTTAGATTTGGGGGTACATGTACAGGTTTTGGTATGTTGAGTGTATTACCTGGGTGTATTGTGTGATGATGAGGTTTGGGGTACAAATGATCTCATCACCCAGGTACTGAACATAGTACACAACAGTTAGTCCTTCAGCCCTTGTCTCCCTCACCTTCCTAGTAGTCCTCAGTGTCTATTGCTGCCATCTTTATGTCCATGAGTACCCAATGTTTACCTTCCACTTATAAGTGAGAACATGCTGTATTCAATTTTCTGTTCCTGCGTTAATTTGCTTAGGATAATGGCTTTCAGCTGCACCCATGTTGCTGCAAAGGACATAATTTCATTCTTTTTTGTCTGTATAGTATTTAGTGGTGTATATGTACCACATTTTATCAAATCCACTACTAATGTGCAATTAAGTTGATTCCATGTCTTTGCTATTGCGAATAGTGCTACAATAAACATACGAGTTTGTGTGTCTTTTTGGTAAAATTAATTGTTTTCTTTTGGATATATACCAAGTAAAGGGAGTGCTGGATCAAGTGGTAGTTCTAAGTCCTTTAAGAAAGCTTCAAACTGCTTTCCACAGTAGCTGGACTAATTTACATTCCCCTCAACAATGTATAAACATTACTTTTTCTTTCTAGCCTTGCCAACCTCTGTCTTTTTTTACCTTTTAATCTAGCCATTCTGACTGGTATGAGATGGTATCTCATTGTTCTTTTGATTTGGATTTCTCTGATGATTAGTGATGTGAAGCAGCTCTTCATGTTTGTTGGCTGTTTGTATGTCTTCTTTTGAGAAGTGTCTGTTCATGTCTTTTGCTCATTTTTAGTGAAATTTTTTGGTTGTTGCTTAATTGTTTAAGTTCTTTACAGATTCTGGACATTAGATGTTTGTTGGATTCATAGTTTGAGCATATTTTCTCCCATCCTTTAGGTTGTCTGTTTCCCCTGCTGATAGTTTCTTTTCCTGTGCAGAAACTCTTTAGTTAATTAGGTCCCACTTGTCAATTTTTGTTTTTGTTACAATTGCTTTTGAGGACTTACTCATAAATTTTCTCAAGGCCAATGTCCAAAATAGTGTTTCCTAGATTTTCTTCTCAAAGATATCTCCAGTTTTTCTATCAATGCCCTTTTTCTATTCCAGAATTCCACATAGCATTTATGTCTCTTAGTCTCTTCTAATCTGTGACAGTTCCTTGATCTTTTCTTGTCTTTCATGACTTTGACACTTTTGAAAGGTGATGGTTTAGTATCTTGTAGAAAGTCCCACAAATCAAGGTTGTCTGCTGTTTTCTCATGGTTAAACTGGGGTTATGAGTTTTGGGGGAAATTTTCACAAAAGTAAAGTATCCTCATTGCATCATATTGGGGTACGTGACATTGACATGAGTTCACACGAATAATGGTAAGTCAGTATAGATGGTGTCTGCCAGGTTTCTTCACTGTAAAGTTACTATTTTCCCTTGGTAATTAATCAATATTTGGGGAGAGATACTTTGAGACAATACAAGTATGCTGTTTCTCTTAAACTTTTACCCACTAGTTGTAACATGTATTGGTAGCATGTAACATGTAATATTGGCACATGGTAACACTAGTTGTAACATGTACACTAGTACATGTAGTTGGTACATGGTAACATTATATATAAAATTATTTATACATAATTTAGAATTATTTTGTAAGGAAGAAGGATTTCTTTTCCTTCTCTTTTTACAGTCATCTTTTAGCTTAGTTCAAATCTTAAAATAATGTCTGCTCAATGAACTAGACTAAATGTACATCTAGGGAGCAAGAATGATGGAGATCAGACCTGCCCCAGAAGTTCCATCACCATTCATTCAGTATTCAGTATTGTGTTTCTAATGTCAGTCACTGAGCTAGTGTAGGAGAGATGATGATGAGTAAGTACAGCCTCTACCCTTAAGGAGCTCACAGTCCAGTAGAGGGAAACACAATGTAATAAATAAAATTATAAATAAATGTGGTTAGGCACTAAAACAGATATATATTTCTTCATTGTGGGCAAGATATAGTAACAATTTAAAAAGCAGTCATGTTGTCAAAATGAGAGCTGAATTTTGAAAAGTGATTGTGTGTATAGCAGGTAGACAAGAAAGGGAGAAACATTTATGGCAGAGGAAATGACATTATCAAAGCCTGAGAAACCTGAAATAGCAAGAGAATATGAAGAAGTTGAAATAGCTTAGTGTGTTGGGGAGCATTGGATCAGGGTCTCAAACTTTATAGGGACTGGGAGCTACTGCAAGTCTTATGGACAATTTTGTTTTAGAAAAAGCACTCTGGTGACCATTTAAGAGAAGATATTGAAGTTATGTGAGATTGGAGGTAAGAAACGCCAATGAAGAGAGTTAGAGTCTCTTATTATCAAACTTATTATCAGGTGTCTGATCTGCTAAATACAAGAGGGTGTAGAAATGACAAACTTTAGAGTGATGTGATTTTTATATTGTATTAAGAGAACATACCAGGGAGAGGGTCTTACAGCTTTGATTTTTCAAAATGAATTTTCAGCTCTGGTCATAACCCATTAACATGTTTGAGTACCTTAAATTCCGTATTATTAGGATTTTCAGTACTGCTGACTACTTAGAACAGTTAGTGTCATGATTATAGAAAAATCTAGATTTGTTGGAGACTGCTTTTGTCTAGCTATCTTCACAGTCTTACAATGTACATTTTCATAATCTTTACTAGTTTGCTGGAAATTAAAGAAGTCTAGGTATCTCAAGGGACCTATCTTATCTATAATCCTAAAGTTATATTTATTCAGGAAGTACCACCCTTTTAATTACTCTAAGTCAATATTTAATCCTAGCTGTTAGGAAACTTTAACGTCATGGGAGTGAGGTCAGTTGTTGAAGAAATTCCAGAAAAGTGGAAAGATAAATAATAGAAGAACATTCCAGTTATAAGTGAACAATTTGGAGTCTAAATAATGCAATAGTATGACCTTCAGTAAAGGAGCACAATCAAATGACAATCAGATAGTAAGAGAACAGGGAAAACGTGCTGACATCATTCACTTCTTACATTCCCATTTCCATCTGGGGCTACCCATTGGCCAAAACCAATAGAAAATCTGAAGGCAATGAAACAGTTGGATGCAGTTTCTATGGGTCAGTCTTTTATAGAACAGAGCAGGATAAAGAAAGATGGAAAGTATATCTAAAGATATTCAGTGCATTTTAACTAATATTTTGTAAGGCTCCAGACTTATCTTTATTTAGATTGCATTTTTTTAATATACATCTCTAATGATAGAGGGGTTTTAATCAATATAAATGTTTGGAATTTACTACATTTAAGGAAGCCCAGGACTTATTAACATTTTGAATATGTTTTATCACTTTTAAATAAATTTTACAGTTATTGGAAACAGAAAGAATATACAAAGATACAGAAATCACACACATACTTGAAAGTAGTTGTATATGTCATTTTATGTAATGGAAGAATGATATGAAATAAAAAATGATTATAGTTTACAGGCTTAAAAACTTCAGTTTCCTACTGGGCATCGTGAAATCCAATTTGACATTAAAACAAATAGGAAAACCCACAATAGATATTTAGAAAAATCATTTACATAATGCTCAGACATCAAAAACTTCTTAGATGCCTTTAGGCAAAGCATAATATGTTTTTATGATACTAACATTCAAATGTCTTCTTCAAGTGAAGTATATGATGTAGGAATCCGGTTTTTGTGTGTGTCTGTTAGTACAATGCTTGAATTTTCACATGGATAATTGAACAGTATTGTCATCATCTACTTCAAATAATGTTTAAGAGTAGTAGAGATTACAATATTAATAAGTTGAGTATTACCACTTATTATTTTTACTACTATGAAAAAAATTTCTTTTTATAGTAAATCTTTAAACTGAGACAATATTTAAATACACACTTAAATACAAAAGTCAAAGTAAATGACTTTTTACAAATTTGAGATTCTTTTTCAGAATATTCTATTTGTATCAGTTTAAAAAATTAGTTTCGGTTAGCCAGACCCTTGTCAAAAGTACCTTAGAAATATGATTTTTTTTTCTGGTAAGCATTATTAGTTTCATTTTTATAGAAAGGAGGTAATTTTTGCAGACTATACACCACTAACAAAAGGCAGAGGAGAGTTTTAACCTATTTATTTATTTAGTTTGTTTACTGAAAGTCTTCAGGCTACAATTATATTGAGATGTTTTCTATAGCTTTCAATTTCAATATTGGTTTTCAGCAATATGAAAATATTATTCTGTTTACAAAAATGATTACATTTTAAATTGATATAATAGTTTCTGTCATAAAGATGAGTACTAAGCCTCTTACATAAGTGGTCTTGTCAAGTCTAAAACAAAGAGTTAGAGATCATGTTTGAGAGAAGTAATGTAGTGACATAGAACACAACAATCACCGAACAAACAAAAAAAAATGCCTGGGCTGAAGGCAGAACAATGGGGTCTGGGTTTTGGTTATGCCCCACCAGAGCTCTGTGAGTCAGTTGTAGTAGCCCAGGATAACATTTTATGGTATTAAATAAGATATTGTTTTACATGCTTCCTTGTACCCATTGTTCTGGTAACAACATTTCCTTCACATACAGGTGCAGGCATTCTGGCTTTTGAGCTCCTAATTAGGCTTTCAGAAGCCCAAACTGCAAACAATAGCTTGAAAGTTACAGTGCTTTTGATTTCCAAATGATAGGCTTTATTGAGAGAAAAAACGTTTCGTTTGGAATTTCTAAAACTGAGTTTGGCATACTGAAAGCAAGGCTGGCAGAACTAATGCCAAGAATCAGAATAGAGAAGAGTGATAATCTAAAACAATTTTCTTACCCCAAATAAACAAATAAAAAAGGGTCTAGCTGTGGGATTCTAGGAACAGCAGAAGTAGCTGCCTTGGCTCTGTGGATAGTCAGGAAGCTCTATACCTTTCACCTTACTGGAGAGTTAGGAGTAACAGTAGCTGAGAGAGCACCCCACTCACAGAAGAAGGAATGCTCCGTCCTCCCAGTGGAATGGAAACAAAATCTCTCTATAAATATTACACCTCCCTGCTGGGAGTGTTGGCTCAGCCTGTAATCCCCTCACTTTTGGAGGTCGAGTGGGCAGATCGCTTGAGCCCAGGAGTTGGAGACCCCCCCTGGGCCACACTGCGAGACTCTGTCTCTACAAAAAACACAAAAATCGGGAGGTGGAGGCAGAAGAATTGCTTGAGCCCTGAAGGCGGAGGTTGCAGTGACCAGAGATAGCCTCACTGCACTCCAGCCCGGGCGACAGAAAGAGACCCCGTCCTAACAAACAAAATCAAAAACTTACATTGCACCTCCCAAAGGCTGAGGACTACAGTGCTGCTTTCCCCATTCCCAATCCTCTTCCTATCTGAAGAAGGGGTAGGAACTAGTTCTTTTATTTTTGCGGGTGGCTCTCTTTAGAAAATACCAGTATAGCTCCTCTTTATTTCTCGTTTTGGGTTTTCAGCACAACAAGACAGCCAGAAAAATCTCATTAAAAATTCCGTTATGCAAATTCTTAAAGATTATCTAGAAATAATTATATTTTTAGATTATACAGTAATAATAACAATGGTTTTTCTAAGGTTTCAGTGATGGGTTGAGAAATAAAAAGCATTATAGTTTTGTTTATTGAGATTTTAACAATGATGAAGTGAGTTTCAAAGGAGAAAACACATTTGACAATTTTCTGTCACAGGGATTCATCTGTGTACAAAATTTATACAATATAAAAAGCTCATGAAATCTGCCATGTGGAATATAAGACGTAGATGTCATAAGTGAGAAATAATTCTCATACAGCTACACATCTCGTTTACGTTTGCTTCAGAATACAGATACATAATTAACTTTTTTATATAATGGAAAATTGGACTGGTTGTTATGACAGAGCATGACTCCACTTGGAACTTATACAGGGTATGTTTAAGGACACACAGCATGTATTGACACACAAAAAAATCTGAAAACTCTGTTCTATAAATACGGTTGTTCTGTTAGACATCGTTTTCACAGAGCCTCATTGAAACAGTTTATATGAGTAGCAGTGGAAAATAGTCAAGAGACATTAAATTAGAGGCGGCCTATCACACTGTATTAGGAGCTTTATGTTTTAAAATATTCCAATTTTGATTTGAAAATTAATCAGAATTCTACTTGAATCTCAAATTCCAAAGTCTCAGGAAAACAAAAAAGAAAAATATTATTGAAGGCAAGAAAGTGATGTCTCAACTATAAACATAAGTTATAATTGTAATTTTAACTATTAATTTCAAAAATTTCAATGAACCGTTAATTATTTTAGACCCACAGGTAAATTATGGATACATCTCTCTCTTTTTTTTTAACTTTCAAGAAAGTTACGATGTTGTTAGTATTTGGGAAGAAACAACTTAAAATCTAGTAGGATTGTTTTAGAGGTTTGGGATAGTACGTTTCCCTCAGTTTTCTTCTATTTCAGATAATGCTGCTTCCTTTACTGTTTCATATTCTATATTCCATTAACCACCAAATAATTTGACTCTAGAACCATAATTTACTCTAAAACAGGAGATGAGGTGTTTTAATGCCTATATTAAAACAGGTAACATTTGGCCAAGACATGGAAATCATAGATAAATGAGAAAGGAATTGCAAATAAACATAATGATATAGATAAAGAGTGTAATTTATATAAGGGGGAAGGTGATAATGATTAATATAATAGAGATGTTTCTAACCTTTATTTTTATACTATGTATACAATGGTGATGACAAAAAAAAGTAATGCAAAGTATGCATAGAATGTTATTAGTGGATAGTCTGGGTGGTAGAAATAAAAATTATTTAAATATTTGATAATTGTCTGCACTTCCTAAATTTTATACAATTTTTCTTCTTTTTAATTTAGTGTAGTTTTCTAATTTCTAGGTTATATTATTTAAGTGAGAAAAATTATAGAAATATTACAGTGTCATTCTAATTTTACAGAAATCACTTACTATTATGAAAGCAATGTTTCCCACTTTTAGTTCAGAAATTAGTCTACAGCCATACCACCCTGAACACGCCCGATCTCGTCTGATCGTGGAAGCCAAGCAGGGTGGTGCCTGGTTAGTACTTGGATGGGAGTTCAGAAATTAGGGGTTGTTGGGGCTCAGAAACTGATACCGCAAAATATGGTGCTTTGACATGCTGAACTGAGGAAGAGGCCTCAAGATCTCTCTGAGAATCACCCCCACTTTTGTCCTCAATCCTTTGTCTTTCCCAAAGTACAGGATGAAGTTGTTATCTAACATTCCTTTGTTTGCCTTATTTGCACATTAATAAATTTGTATGTCCTTTCTCCTCTAAATCTGCCTTTTGTTCACTGATTGTCAGTGAAGCGTCAGAAGGTGAAAGGGAAGATTTCACCATTTCCTTCTTAGTCAAGTTATGGATAAATTCCTATAGTTCCGCCAGGCGCGGTGGCTCATGCCTGTAAATCCCAGCACTTTGGGAGGCCGAGGCAGGCAGATCACCTGAGGTCGGGAGTTCAAGACCAACCTGAGCAACATGGAGAAACTCCGTTTCTACTAAAATGCAAAATTAGGCGGGTGTGGTGGCGCATGCCTGTGATCTCAGCTACTCGGGAGGCTGAGGCAGGAGAATCACTTGAACCTGGGAGGCGGAGGTTGCGGTGGGCTGAGATCAGGCCATTGCACTCCACCCTGGGCAACAAGAGTGAAACTCTGCCTTAAAAAAAAATAAAAAATTCTTATCGTTCCAATCGAAAACATCAGGTTATTGCACATTAATTAAATTTGGTGAGTGTATGTTTTGTATACTGTGATTCTGAAAAAAAATCCATAACAATGTGCCTTTATATTCTGATTTGATTCCTTTTTTTTAAGACGAGTCTCTCTCTGTCACCCAGGCTGGAGTGCAGTGGTGGATCTCAGCTCACTGTAACCTCCGTCTCCCAGGTTCAAGCAATTCTCCTGCCTCAGCCTCCTGAGTAGTTGGGACTACAGGGGAGCACGACCATGCCCGGCTAATTTTTGTGTTTTCAGTAGAGATGGTGTTTCACCATATTGGCCAGCCTGGTCTCAAACTCTTGACCTCGTGATCCACCTGCCTTGGCCTCCCAAAGTGCTGGGATTACAGGTGTGAGCCACCCCTTCTGGCCTGATATGAATCTTAAAATAAAATCTAGCCCCTAATTCTTGAGAGAAAGTTTGTAGTCGTGGAAAGAATGTGGACTTTGAAATGAAACAGATCTGCATTCAAATGCTGAGTTCTGTGACTATTTTTTAAATAGTACTTCTCATATTTCATATTATGCAAGTAACATGATAGTCCCCCAAATTCCTTCTCTTTCACATCACTTTTCTGCTTTGCACATCAATACATAGTTTATTTACCCTCTCTTTGAATCTTGGCTGTCTATGTGAAGTGCTTTACTGCATAAAATGCAGAGAACTTCTAAGTGCAGGTTTAAAAAGTACAGGTGGCTTTCACCTTCTTCCTCTTAGAACCCAGCATCCAGAATATGAGAAGCCTCAACCAGGGTGACAGGCCAGGTGGGGATGCTGTGTGAAGAGGAAAATGTCCTACAACTATATAGCAGAACCAAGAAACCCAGCTGACAGTAAGGACAAAATCCCAGACGTATGATCCAAGTTAAGCCATGCTAACCAGCCTCCAGTTTTTTGAACCATCCTAGCTGGGGTATCAGGCATGTGATGTAAAAGCCATTGTGAATGTTTTATGACCAGCAGCAGGGCAGGCTTTATAGATGTGTGACCTGAGCAGTTACACGGAAGGCTCCTATGCTTTAAGGTTTCTGTGCTTGGCTTAATGCTCTGCTATCACTAAATTGAAATACTTAATAATTTATGAACAAGTCCAACTTCTTCTTTTTGCACTGGCCTGGTAAATCATGTATTAATTCTGCCCAGCAGACATTATATAAAGCTGAGACCATCCAAACCCACTATGCCTTGTTCAGATGTCTTACCAAGAGTATTTTAAGTGATAATTAAATAATTATTGTTTTAATCCACTCAGTTTTGGGGGAGATTGTTTACAGCAACAGATAACCAAAATACATGGCATTTGAAAATAGCAAAGAAGCTCACAAGGAGACCATAAAAAGAGATTTCTTTGTGAAGACAGGGATGAGAGGAAGATGCAAGTATTTATATGAAGATTTAAGGGTGTTCTTAAAGAATATATCCAAAAATGTAACGCTTTAGAATTGATGCAGGGCAGGCAAGTCCCAAAATTGAGGCTTAGCTAGGGAGGGTCCTGGCTTCACACAGGAAAGAATTCAGGGGCAAGCTGGTGGTGTTAAACAGGAACTTTTATTGAAGTGGCAATGTACAGCAGCAGCAGAGATACTGCTCCTTGTACAGCAGAGCTACCCTGCAGGCAGTGTGCTCAGAGTAGCAGCTGAATGGCAATTCTGCAGTCATATTTATATCCACTTTTAATTACATGCAGACTAAGAGGTGGATTATACAGAAATTTCTAGGAAAGGGCTGGTAACATCCAGATCGCCAGGTCATTGCCATGGAAAGGGGCAGTAACTTCCAGGTGTTGCAATGGCAATGAACTGGCATGGCACACTGGCATATATGTCTTATGGAGAGCTACTTCTTCCCTGGCCATGTTTTAGCTAGTCCTCAATTTGGTCTGGTGTCTGAGTTCTGCCTCCAGTGTTGCATCTGATCTCCCACATGAAAATGATAGATGGTGAAAGAAATCAAGTTTTTTAAAACATAAATATATTATCCAATGTATCATTTGAAAAAGTTTAAAGACTTGTAGCTGTAACCAACACATGTAAGCTACCCTTATTTGATATTTTAAATGTTGAATAATGAAAAAGTTACTCAATTAATTTAAAAGTGGAGAATTTTAGAATGTATATTTTAATAACTAGTTTACAATTTAAAAAACAAGAAAAGCATGCATGCATGCATATAAAAAAGTTTTGTTAGAGAATGATTTGAAGTCACATGGGATGGAATAAAGTGATGCTTATAAAATAGATTTTTGATGCTGTATCTTTTAGCAACTTAAAAAAATTAAAATATCCAAACAGTTTTAAATGCCTTAAAGTTCTGTGTGTTAGCCTACCTGGGATGAATTTTTATGTCTGATCTGAAATAAGATTCTAAATTTTCTTTTTATTCATTTGGATACCCAGTTATTCTAGTGCCATTAAGCGGAGTCACTTCTTCTCCAGTAGTATGTAATTCCCTGTAACTTACATACTACAGTGTCATATTTGTGGATCTGATTCTATGTGCTTTATTCTGTTCTATTGTTTGCTTATTTTTTCATTTATCAATACTACACTGTTTTAATTACCATAAACTTATCTTTAAATAGAAATTGCCTGTTTTCTTTCTCTTCCTCCTTTTCTTCTCTTTTAAAATTCTACTTTTTCTTTTTTATTCCCTTTTTTTCCTTTTTTTTTGAGACAGTGTCTCGCTTTGTCGCCCAGGCTGGAGCTCAGTGACAGGATCTCGGCTCACTGCAAACTCCTCCTCCCAGGTTCACACCATTCTCCTGCCTCAGCCCCAGAGTAGCTGGGACTACAGATGCCCGCCACCATGCCCGGCTAATTTTGTGTATTTTTAGTAAAGACGCGGTTCACTGTGTTAGCTAGGATGGTCTCCATCTCATGACCTCGTGATCTGTCTGCCTCGGCCTCCCAAAGTGCTGGGATTACAGGTTTTTTATTCCTTTTTAAGCTCATCTTCTCCTCCTCTTATTTATTCTACTTTTCTACAAGTTTGTCTTGTCTAGATTAGACTCTGCTTTTCCATTTACATTTGGGATCAGCTTATCAATTACATGGAAAACAATTTTATTTATCATTTTGTCCTGTATATCTCTGTTCTTTTTCTGGAACTCTTTTTTTTTTAATCATATATTAACCTTCTCCATTTAAATACTGTCTTATATTTGCAGCATTCTCTATCTTTTAATTAAATAATTCGTTCTTGTCACATCATGTTTTCTGTTTTAACTATCAATGTAGTATTAAATTGCAGTATCTATATTTTTTATTTTCAGAATTTCTATTTTTTTTTTCAAATCTACTCTTTGTTGTTCATGATTCTTGTTCTGCCATTATGTTTTCTTTTTCTTCTGTTAACAGTTTATATTTTCGCCTAGTGGAATTAAATATTCCTTTCATTGAGATCTCAATTCTATCTAGCCAGATTGCTCTGAACTAAAACACTTCTTTCCTCTTATAGGAAGATGCACTTTGTATCTAGTGGTTGGGGACTACATTCAGGCCCAATATTTCTCTGGTTATTCTGGGTAACAGCTCACATTTTCCATCCTGTATTTGGTTTCTGCCCTTGTTTCCAGTAGTTGGAATTAATACGTCAATAATTAAAAGTATTGATGTACTTGTTAATTCTTTAGTTATCTTTTAAATATAATTATTTGAATTGCTGACTGCACCCATAATGGCCAGCAAAACATTCCATTTAGCCATTCTGCTCCCAGCCTTGGTTAAGCCTCTGTTCTAATGAGGTTATAGGATACGTTGGAGCCAAGGTCCCAAGATTATGACACAACTCAATGTTTTCAAAATTAAATGAGTCATACAGACTTGATTCATTAGATTCTCAACTGAAATAGGTAAGTTATTTCAATCATATGATACAATGATTAGAATCAGCACAAAATATATTCTTTAGAAAAATACCACTTAAAAGTGTAATTTAATAGATAAGGTCTACAAATTCTTTCCATAAATAATAGTCAAAAAAATTCTACAACTTTAATTGGCATCTATATTTTAAATATGAAGGATTTTGGTACAGAAACTAATTATTTATGATAAAACTGATAAGTAAACATCAAATTAGAGACTGCATGTAGGAATTTATATAATTACGATAATTCAGTAAGATAATTTACTCTTTTCCAAATAAAATTAAACATTGAAATTTTGCCACTTTGTTTTTGGTAAGAAAACATTCTCACATTTGCAATTGTCAAAATATTTAAGCTTATTTTTTCATTCTTCTTATTGCATGGCACCCTCTGGTTTCAACTAAACACAATCTTAAAATTTGACAAAATATTTTCATGTTCGAATAATTAATCCCTCATTGAGAAATTGGACACTAAATACACCAAAAACTGTATAAAATGCTTAAAAGAAATGGCATTATCACTCAGCAGAAATCTAAATATTTGAAAATATTTTGGATATTATTTTATTTTTTCCAGATATATTAGTGTATAATACATAGAATCTATTAGCATAATACTTTGTTAATTCAAATACTAGTCTAAAAATAATTATTCATTTTCTTCTTTGTCTTAATACATCTTGGAACAAATAATAATTCTCTATTAATATTATATTGTGATTTTTCTATGTAATGATACAAATAGAAATCTTTCCCGTTTTCTATATTTAAAATCATTTTCTTAAATAGTATATGATAGAAACACTAAGTCTGTTATAAACTTCTGGGTCATATAATGAGACGGTATATTAAAAACACCCTCTTAGAAAATGAGAACCTGTTTAAAATAAAAGTCATCAGGAGTAATGTAGGAAGGACTTCAAATACAATTTGTAAAATTCTTATATGTAGATAAAAAGATACTAATGTCAAAGTCAGGAAATGCTACTTAAATAGGAAAATCCCATTCTAACATATCTGCAGCAGTTAATAAATTGAACACACACACACACACACACGCACACGCACACACACAGCCCACATATTTAGCACATATCTTGAGTTTTTTGGAAAAAATATCGATTTAAATAAAATAAAGATTGTTTTTGAACTCGTTGCTTTGTTTGAAGATACCTTAAAATACAATTTAAAGAAAATATTTGAGAAAATTTTAAACAAAACTGAATCTTTTGAACAAATGCAGACATAGAGAAGGTCATTGTATATTTTTAGCATAGAAGTTAAAAATATAACAAAGGCCAGGCACAGTTGCTCACACCTGTAATCCCAGCACTTCGGGAGGCCGAGGCAGTCAGATCATGAGGTCAGGAGTTCAAGACCAGCCTGGCCAATATGGTGAAACCCTGTCTCTACTAAAAATACAAAAATTAGCCAGGTGTGGTGGCGTGTGCCTGTAGTCCCAGTTACTTGGGAGGCTGAGGCAGAACAATCACTTGAACCCGGGAGGCAGAGGATTCAGTGAGCCGAGATCGAACCACTGCACTCCAGCCTGGGCAACAGAGCAAGACTCTGTCTCCAAAAAATAAAATAAAAATAAAAATAAAAAAATATATAGCGAATAAACTCATATTATCTTAGTTGTAATCAAATCCTAACTCTATGAACTTACTAGCATTGTGATTTTAGGAGAGCAGAGGAAATGCAGTATTTGAAACAATACTAGTTGACATTTTCCAAAACTGATTTGAGAAGTTTGCTAAACTCATTTAGAATTTTTTTTTTTAAAAAAAACCTCATTTGGACAATTATATGAAAACAAATGGAAACAAAATTCCAAAGTTGACTTTTAAAAGTATTAAGGGGGTAGAAGGCACATTATCTTTAAAAGAGCAACAAAAAAGTACACATGATTTTTTAGCAAAAATTATGGAAATCAGGGTATAATGGAATGACATCTTAATAGTGCTGAAATAAAATGATTTCAACATAGAATCCTATACTAGTAAAATTATCTTCAAAAAGAAAAAGGGAAATCATTTTTTTCTGGATAAAAAGAATCTGAAAGAAAATGTAATCCGCAGATCCACACTAAATAGATATATGAGAGAGAGAGGGAGAGAGAGAGAAAGAGATACTGAAGTGTTATTTTCCTTCCTCTCTAAACTCTAATTTATATTACGTTATTTGGTCTAAAGAAGCTAATCTGTGACATTGTCCTGAGAATTTCCTCCTCTACCATAGAATAACATTTCTTTCTTTCTGTGTGATCTACTTTTTCATACGCTAACCATAGTCTTTCTTTGACTGCACTTCAGTAAACTCGTTATAATATGACTCTTGCTTTAATATTAACTTGTGGTAAGCAGTAGTGCTAAACATTTAATCTGAAATTTGTGATAAGAAATAGTGTTCGAATCATCTTTCTCTTTCTAACAATTGGAACATTGTCTGACTCAGTATATACTCTCTATGTAATTGATGAAAAAATAAATACCTTTGTAGTAGAGGCTACGGTTAGGAAATTATAACAATATAGCCTATCTTCTAAAGTGGTTATAACATAATTAAGATGACTTTTGCACAAAATTAAGATAAGAGCTTTTGCACATTAATTTGTGTAGCAAATTTATGGACTCCAAATGTCAGTCATAAAATATATAATATACACAATTTGTATATGGGATGTAGAGAAAATATTGTAACAAATGAAGATGCTAGTTAGTTGGTCTTAATAAAAATGTTACTAAATTTGTTCATGCTTCTTCATCTGTCCCTTGAGTGATAGAAAAGGTAATGGCATTTTAAATTTTCTTGAGAAGCGAATTAATCTCATAGAGAGCACTAGCTTTGACACATTGTGAAAATGAACACTTTAATGAACACTTCAACTCTTTTAGAAGTTAGATTTTACATTTATAACCTCAAAGCATATAAAGGCAGCAAAGGATAATGAAAGAAATCAGCTTAGTGGCTGTTCAGAGAGCATGGCTAATCAGATCTCCCTGGTTTCCTCACCAGTGACTGTGCTCTTGCTGAGGCAATGGTGTCCACATTGTCTCTCAGTCCCACATAGTCGTAAGAAGCCTAGGGTAAGCTGATTAATTCCCTTAAATCCTTTTGTACATCACCTGAATCTCCAGCAATTTTATATGATTGCTAAAATACTGCCTTTAATAAATGAGGTCATCTGGATCTAGTCTCAGATTCTTCTTCTGATATTAGCCCTGGGTATTTCAGTTACATGATGAAATGAAGTCATTTTCAATATACAGCTTATGGAGTTTAGAGATTCTGGTTTTTGAAGCCAAAAGATTCCTAACTAAAAAAGACAGGAAGGATGCTATAAGAATTCCATGATATTTCACCCTGAACTTCGCCGCCGTTTTTGCTTCCATTTTGGTCTATTAATAAAAAGCCGCTTATATGACCCAGACATATCATGCTGTTTGGTTACTTCATATATTTATGCCCTTTTGAGTAAAATTGCATGTCAAAGCCTACCACAAAGATCACAGTTAAGTTTCTATGGAGGTTTTAATGATGATACATATCTCTATCTCCTCACTTTCCCCATGCAAACTTCCTCGTTCTTTTTTGTGCCAACACTTTGCCTTTTACATACCATTTTTACAAAAGTAACACTTTATGTTAATGTCTGGTCCTCCCCCTGAGTAGGTAATTCTTGAGGATAGTAATTTTATCTGATTCACTTTTGTATCCAATAGCAACTAATATGGTGAAACTAAAGTGGAAGCAAAGTATATATTGAATGCATAAAAATACCATAAAGAAAAATAAACTGAACACAGCAATGTCTTATGCATAAGTACTCCAAAAATATTTTCTCAGCTAGATAGCTATGTCTTGAGGAACTACTTTTTTATTATTTTGGTGTTTTTCTCATAAAACAGGGTATAATGAAGTCTGAAATCTTAAAGGCACTTTAAAGCGTTCCCACATCAAACATTTTTTTAATATCACAAGGCTACTAAATATTGTAGGGTGCTAGAATGCAAAACTTGTCAAATATCACTTTTGAGCTATCACACTGTTTCTCTCTTGAAATTTACACATGGTGTCCAAAAAATAAAGTGAAAGCACATTGGAGTAAAACACATAATAACGGTGTCATAAACAAATAATCAAATAGACTATATTCAAAGCTAAAAATCATAATGTTGTTTAAAATTCAACTGAGTGAAGTAGTTTGTATGACTAGTGGTATTAATAAGCCACTTTATAGAAAAAAATGCAAGGTGGCAAATAAAAACAATGAATAAAAATCATCTTTATTATAAATATGTGTAATTATATTTTTTCCAGCAGCTTTAAACTGACATGAATATCTGCGATGAGTATCTCTGAGTTCTAATGTTACCTACTATACTAATAGATGAGGGGTCATTCTATTAAAAGAATGAGAATGCTTCATGCACAGGTTATGATATCAAAAGGCAGCAGTTCTTTTTAGTAAACTGAAACTCCTGTGACAACAAGTGTGGAAATTTAACTTTGTACTTTTAGTGAAACAAGTTTTTGGTCATGTACTGAAATACACCATAGTAAAGAAGAACTTCTTGCTGGAAATGAAAAATTCTAACTGTCTACTCCAACTAGGAATGGTCATGCTAAATTTGAAATCCCAATTATAGAATAATTATACTTTTTTTGCTAACCTTCACTAATAAAATAGCTATTGTTAATTTGATTTCATTAATTTTAAAGACAAATAAGCATTACATTACTTCATTTTTTGATAACACTTTAGAAAGTTCTACTTCCAAAGATGGTAAGAGCAGCAACTTTGTTTTGTTCATTTCTATATCCTCAGGAAATTATTCAAGGACAAGGTGGTTTCTCATTAAATATTTTATGGAATGAATGAATAGATGAGTATGATGGTTAATACTGAGTGTAAACTTGATTGGATTGAAGGATACAAAGTATTAATGCTGGGTGTGTCTGTGTGGGTGTTGCCAAAGGAGATTAACATTTGAGTCAGTGGGCTGGGAAAGGCAGACCCACCCTTAATATGGGTGGGCACAATCTAATCAGTTGCCAATGCAGCTAGAATATAAGCAGGCAGAAAAATGTGAAAAGAGAGACTGGCCTAGCCTCCCAGCCTACACCTTTCTCCCATGAAAGAGAGACTCCAATGTTTGATGCTTCCTGCCCTTGAACATTGGACTCCAAGTTCTTCAGTTTTGGAACTTGGACTGGCTCTCCTTGCTCCTCAGCCTGCAGACGTCCTATTGTGGGACCTTGTGATCGTGTGAGTTAATACTTAATAAACTCCCCTTTACATATATATATGTGTGTGTGTGTGTGTGTACATATATATATATATGTACACACACATATATATGTATATATGTATATACATGTATATATGTACATATATATATACACATATATATATCCCATTAATTCTATTCCTCTAGAGAACCCTAATACAATGAGTGAAGAAATAAATTAATGACATTCACAATGAGTGTAGGTGCAGATAATGAAAGGGTCTGGGAAAGTTGGCCCCTCCCTTGAATTGAATAAGAGCTCCCAAAGAAAGAGTTTTATATTTTATTGACCACATATTTTATGCTTGTCATTTGTACAGGTTCTATAATTGCAATGCAGGTTCAGTTATTGTTTTTTTTGTTTTTGGCAATGCTGATGTATCCATTGGAATCAAGTCAGAGAAACAGAAGCCACTTTTGGATTTCAAACAGAATTTAACAAAGAGAATGTTGACACAGTTGAAATTAGAGCTAAAAAAGCCAAACAAAGGATAAGACGATCCAGAAATCTGTAATGGCAGGAAGTTGTTACCATGATTATGCTGAAAGAAGAAACCCAGAAGACCACCTTACTGGATCTTAGAAGCCAGGACTACCTGGGAGAAGCTGGAAGTACACTACACAACAGACCTCCATTCATGCAGTAAAGGGTTGTTTGGTGGGTAATGGAGCCACTGAGAAAAACTGGCCATCGCTGGACATAACAGTAGAGGTAGAGAGCTACAGGGAAAAACTGTGGAGTGAAAAACCTTGACTTCTCATTTTATCCTGCCTTCCTATTTCTATTGAGTGTGTCCCATTGGTTGGCACTAGTTGAAAGCCAGTGGGCAAGGGGTTCTGGAAAATTTAGTTTCCTCTGATATAGATAAAAAGGAGGAAAAGTTGGAGAATGAAACTGAGAGCAGATAGGTAAAGTGGAATGCACTATGATTTTAAGTAGAAAAATGTTCACTTTTAATTCTTTATATGGGCACATTCAACTTTAACACAGAATTAGATATTATATTTTTCTGATTGCATTTTTAAAATATCCTCATAAAACAAAATATAAGAATGAACTTTCTGGAGCATAGATATACTATTTTGTTTTTATTTTCCCTTCGTAAACTATATTTGTTAACTTTGTGGGTGGTTTTATAAGCTTCTTGGCAAGAATGTTTATTGTATTTGTATTTTCTATAGCTATTATGATTGTTATTTAATTGACAGATAAAAATTTTATGTATTGATCATGTACAATATGCCGTTTTGAAATACGTATACATTGCAGAATGGCTACACTGAGCTAATGAACATATGCATTGCCTCACACACTTATCACATTTGTGGTGACAACACAACATCTACTCTCTTAGCATTTTTTGAGAATATAATATATTGTTATTAACTACAGTCATCATGTTGCACAATAGCACTCTTGAACTTACTCCTTCTATATAACTGAAATTTTGTATCCTTTAACCAACATCTCCCCACCCTCACCCCTCACCCCTCACCCCAGCCTCTGGTAACCACCATTCTACTCTCTACTTCTATGAATTTAACTTTTTTAGATTCCATATATAAGTGAGATCATGCTGTATTTGTCTTTCTGTGCTTGGCTTATTTCACTTAATGTAATGTTCTCCAAGTTCATCCATGTTTTCTCAAATGTCAGGAATTCCTTCTTTTTAAAGCTGGATGATATTCCTTTATATGTATCCAATATACAATATATGTCTATTATATGTACAATGGTATTCCATTGTATGTCTGTTATACGTATATATCTCACATTTCCTTTATCTAGTCATACGTTGATACATATTTTGGCTGTCATAAATAATGCTGCAATGAAAATGAGAGTTCAGGTATCTTTCACATACTGATTTCATTTTCTTTAAATACATACCCAATAGTGAGATTACTGGATCATACGGTAGTTTTATTTTCAATTTTTGGAGGAAGCTTCATACTGTTTTCTATAGTGGCTACACTAATTTACATTATCCGCATCACTGTACAGTGGTTTCCTTCTCACCACAACCTTGTCAACATTTATTGTCTTTTGTATTTTGATAATAGCCATCTTAACAAGTATGAGATGATATCTTGCTTTTTAAAATTTTTTATTTTATTTTAAGTTCTGGGATACATGTGCAGAACATGCAGGTTTGTTACATATGTATACATGTGCCATGGTGGTTTGCTGCACCTGTCAACCCGTCATCTGTCTTGTGGTTTTAATTTACATTTTTCTGATGATTAGTGGTGTTTAGCATATTTTTCGTATACCTGCTGCCCATTTGTATGTCTTCTTTTGAGAAATGTCTACTCAAGACCTTTGCCCATTTTAAAAATTAATTATTTGGTTTTCTAAAAGTAATATTGAGTTTCTTATATATTTTGGATATTAATCTCTTATCAGAGGTATGGTTTGCAAATAGTTTCTCTCAATCTGTATGTTGCCTCTTCACTCTGTTGATATTTTCCTTGAGTGTGCAGAAGTTTTTTAGTTTGATATAATCCCATTTGCCTATTTTTGTTTTTGTTCCCTGTGCTTTTGCGTTCATATCCAAAAATGTATTTCCCATACCAATGTCATGGAGCTGTTCCCCATGTTCCTTTCTAGTAGTTTTACAGTTTCAGATCTTACATTTAAGTCTTTAATCAATTTTGAGTTGATTTTTGTATTTGGTGTGGAAAAAAAGGTCTAGTTTCATTCTTCTACATATGGATATCCAGTTGTCCCAACGTTATTTACTGAAGAAAGTCTTTTCCCTATTGTGTGTTATTGGTGCCTTTGTCAAAAATCAGTTGATTTCAAATGCATGGATTTATTTATGAGCTCTCTATTAAGTTTCATTTCTGTATGTGTCCATATGCTATAATAGTAACATGCTGTTTTGATTACTATAGATTTGCAGTACATTTTAAAGTCTGGTAGTGTGATGCCTCTAGCTTTGTTCTTTTTACTCATTTTTTTTTTTTTTTTTTTGAGACGGAGATTCACTCTTGTTGCCCAGGCTGCAGTGCAATGGTACAATCTCGCCTCATTGCAACCTCCACCTCCCGGATTCAAGCGCGTCTCCTGCCTCAGCCTCCCGAGTAACTGGGATTACAGGCTCCCACCACCACACCTGGCTAATTTTTTGTATTTTTAGTAGAGACAGGGTTTCACCATGTTGGCCAGGCTGGTCTCGAACTCCTGACCTCGTGATCTGCCCGCCTCGGCCTCCCAAAGTGCTGGGACTACAGGTGAGAGCCACTGCACCCGGCTCGTCTTACTTAATATTGATTTGACTATTTGGGATCTCTTACGGTTCTATATGAATTTTAAGATTTTTTTCTATTTCTGTAAAAAATGTCATTGGAATTTTAATAAGGGTTATATTGAATCTGTAGATTGCCTTGAGTAGTATGGACATTTTAACAATATTATTTCTTCTAATTTATGAACATGAAATATCTTTTCAATTATTTGTGTCTTCTTTAATTTCTCTCATCAATGTTTTACAGTTTTCAGCGTACAGTTCTTTCACTTTCCTGGTTAAATTTATTCCTATTTTATTTTTTCTGTAGCTATTGTAAATAGAATTGTTTTCTTGATTTCTCTTTTTGAATAGATTGTGTTTATTGTATAGAAACATCACTGATTTTTATATGTTGATTTTGTACCTTGTAACTTTACTGAATTTGTTTATTAGTTCTAGCAGATTTTGGTGGAGTCTAGTGTTTTCTATATATAAGACCATGACAATTTGGCCAAGCACAGTGGCTCACGCCTGTAATCTCAGCACTTTTGGTGGTCGAGGCAGGTGGATCACCTGAGGTCAGGAGTTTGAGACCAGCCTGGCCAACATGGTGAAACCCTGTCTTTACTAAAAAAAAATACAAAAATTAGCTGGGCATGGTGGTGGGCACCTGTAATCCCAGCTACTCAGGAGGCTGAGGCAGGAGAATCGCTTGAACCCAGGAGACAGAGGTTGCAGTGAGCAGAGATTGCACCATTGCACTTCAGCCTGGGCGACAAGAGCAAAACTCTGTCTCAAAAAAAATCACAATTTAACTTTTTCTATTCTGAAGTGGATGACTTTTATTTCTTTCTCTTGCTTAATTGTTCTGGCTAGGATTCCAGTGTTATGTTGAAAAGAAGTAGTGAGAAGGGACATCCTTGTCTTGTTCTGATCATGGAGGAAACACTTTCAAATTTTCAGCACTGAGTATGATGTTAGCTCTGGGCTTGTCACATATGACCTTTATTGTGTTGAAGTATATTCCCTCTGTATCTAATTTATTAATAGTTATTTTCATCATGAAAGAAAGTTAAATTTGTCAATTTTTTTGCATTTATTGATATGATTATATGGTTTTTGACCTATATGCTGTTAATGTGATGTTTGGGAAAAATACTAAAATCATGTTTTTCCTCTGCCCTCACACCACAACAATCAATACAGAAGACTTCTGTGATCAAATGTGTGGTTTATTTTCCCCATTAACAAGTATTAAACACCAGCTGAGTATTCTCCAATTCAATTCTGACACTATCTACCTGGAGATAGACCGCCTCCTTGAGCTTGATTAATTTGCTGGAGTGAGTAACATAACTCAGTGAAACACGTCGACCAGTGTAATATAAAGGATATTACAATAACTACAATAAAGAGATGTGTAGGGCTAGGTGGGGGTAAGGAGCACATGTGCCTGGGTATGCCAGCCGCCAGGAACCTCCATGGTTATCTAGAAGCTTGCCTAATCCAGTCCTCTTGGGTTTTCATGGAAGCTTCATATGTCAGCCTTCCTTCCCTAAGGGTATAGGGTGAAATCCTCTCTAGGGAGAGTCTTAAGACCTACAATCAAATTATAGTCCTACCTTGGGACTCTAGAGAGCAGGAAAAGGTCAGAGAGATTGTTTCCAGATGCCTGCTCCTGAGGTTTAACATACCTAACATTATAACAAAAGACTGTAATAAGGGCTATGGGAATTATGAGCCAGGAAGGTGAAAAAAAACCTATATATATATTATATATGTTATATATAATATATATTATATAAAATATATAATATAATATATATATTATATAAAATATATAATATATAATATATATATTATATAAAATATATAATATATATATTATATAAAATATATAATATATATATTATATAAAATATATATAATATATAATATATATAATATATATAATATATAAAATATAATATGTTATATATAAAATGTATAATATATTATATATAAAATATATAATATTATATATATATATAAAATCATATCACTTGTGGTATTTCACATTCATAGATTTGCATGTGTTAAATCATCCTTGCATCCCTGGGATAAATCCCACTTGATCGTGATAAATGATCCTCATAATATCCTTTTGAATTTGATTTGCTAGTATTTTGTTGAGAATTTTTATTTCTGTGTTAATCAAGGATAGTGACTTGTAATTTCTTTTTCTTGTCATATCCTTATTTGGCTTTGTTATTAGGGTAATGCTGGCCTCATAAAGTGTATTTGGAAAAATTTTTTGTTCTTCAATTTTTTGAAATAGTTTGAGAAGATTTGGTGTTAGGTTTTTAAATGTTTGGTAGAATTCAGCAATAAAGCCATCAAGTCCTGGGCTTTTCTTTGATGAGATAGTTTTATTACTAATTCAATCTCATCACTCATTATTGGTCTATTCATATTTTCTATTTCTTCATAATTCAGTCTTGGTAGGTTGTATGTGTCTAGGAATTTATTCATTTCTTCTAATCTTCCTAAATTGTTGATACATAATTGTTCATAGTACTCTGTTACTGTTCTTTTTATGATATTAGTTGTCTTTTTAATTTCTAATTTTATCTATTTGACTTTTCTCCCTTTCTTAGTCTAGCTAATGATTTATTTTGTCTACCTTTTCAAAAAAAACAGCTCTTACTTTTGTTAATTTTTTTTCGGCCGGGAGCAGTGGCTCACGCCTGTAATCCCAGCACTTTCGGAGGCCGAGGTAGGCAGATCACCAGGTCAGGAGATTGAGACCATCCTAGTTAACACGGTGAAACCCCGTCTCTACTAAAAATATAAAAAATTAGCCGGGCGTGGCGGCGGGCGCCTGTAGTCCCAGCTACTCGGGAGGCTGAGGCAGGAGAATGGCGTGAACCCGGGAGGCAGGGCCTGCAGTGAGCCGAGATTGTGCCACTGCACTCCAGCCTGGGCGACAGAGTGAGACTCTGTCTCAAAAAAAAAAAAAAATTCTATTGTTCTTCTAGTCTCTATTTCATTAATTTATGCTCTGATCTTTATTACATTCTTCTTTCTACTCACTTTGAGCTTACGGTCTTCCTTTTCTCGTTTTTATGTAGATAATGTTAGGTTGTTTACTTGAGATCTTTTTTTTTTTTTGATGTAGGCATTTATTGCTATCAGATTCCTTCTTAGAACTGCTTTCACTGCATCATATACAGTTTGATATGCTGTATTTCCATTGTTGTTTGTGTCAAGATAATTTTTAAATTTTCTTTTTGCCCTATTTAGTGTTCAGGAACTTGTTGTTTAATTTCCATGTATTTGGGAATTTTTCTAAATTCTTCCAATTGATTTCTAGCTTCATGAAGCATAGAAGCACTTTTTTATTGAAGATAAAATTACAGATTTAGTATTTGAGAAACCAAAAAAATGGTGTCAACTACCACATTTTTTCAGGAATAATAATATATTTTTTGCTTGCTGCTTAGAATAACTCAAAGCAACATAGACAATATTTTATGACACAGTTTAAAAGCAAGATGACTTAATATTTAACAATTGTATAATATTTTAATTAGCCCAAAATACTTTTTTCCTAGATTTTAAAGATGTTTACATTTTGTCACATTTGTCATTTAAAAGAGAAAATTATAGATACAGTTGAATGTCCATTTCTGCAGTCAATCCTTGTACCTCCCTTTTTAAAGGCATATAGTCTATCGACATTTATAGGATTGTTAGTTCAGATTTTAAGTTTACATACATTATACCAAATGGTAATAAACTTTTAGAACTGGCCATTCTAACTCAACATGATTATATATTTACCAATGTTGATATGTCTAGAACTTGTTCATTCTTTCATTTTAGTTGTGCATAGTATGCTGTTGGACAGTATACTATTATTTATCTTTTGTATAAATTTGATGAAGTTTATATATTCTAGGTTCTGTTTTTCAGTTGATTATGTTGAAAATATTTTCCTTCAGTCTGTGTTGTAGTTTTGGCTAAAAAATTTTAATAGAAAAATATAACTCATTTTTCTTACACATTATTTTAACTACAGGAAGAGAAAAAAAACCCCAGAACATTAAGTAAGACTACTGAAACAAGCTAAATAGGTGATATTGCATGTAAACATACATACATCTTTCTATTCATAGACAAGACACAATAAAAAATCTTGGATGAAATACTTCGATTTGCATATATTACACATTTTCTTTTTTGCTGGTTGATTAATGACTGCAAAGAAACTTGAACTCATTTTATGTGGAGAACACTGGTAAAGAAAAAGACACAAGAAATTCTGAAAAAGTACCTGAAAGTGAAGATCCTAAGAGTGAATTGGATCTTATTAAATAAAAAGCTGTTGTTTCTATTCTGTGGTATTTAGAGTTGGGAGTGGTTATATGCATGTTATTTATTCACTCATACAGTCATTTAAGAGTTTTATTTTCTTAATTATTTAGTAAAATTTACCAATACGAGGTAAGAATCAAGGTGAAGACTTATTTTTATTTAAGTGGAAAGTAATACAAAGTTTTATAGTTGAAGGAAACAGTTTGCAGCTGAGTTTGCAGCCATTTTATTTTGGAGGTCCCTTGGATTTTCCCAGTAGGTTCTGGAGTCATTTCTACATTTTTTCTTATGAAATTTGGTGATTATTATGTTAAGTATTGGTAAATGTGGTCATATCAAAACTATGTTATTTGTATTCTGGCAAACTTTTACACTAATCATACATTGTATGACAAGCAAGAATTTCAAGGAAGTACCTAGTCTGGTCTCTTTTATGCCTGATTATTTTTATGTCTATATCCATATAACTCTCCGTTATGATACTCTGTTTCTCTAAACAGTGTATCTCTCAGTTTATTCTCTTTTTTTAATTAAAATTGGAGACACAACAGGATAGAAATTGTGTGTTTTGTTCAAATGGTGTGCCTTCAACTCATAGAAAAGTGTGTGACATATAAATGACATCCTGTTTATATTCATTGAATATTTGCTGAATAAATGGAACAAACAAGGCCTAAACAGTTACATCATTCCCCCAAATCATACAAAGTATTTTTTCTGTGACAACCCATTTCCCCTCCATACTCCTCAGTCTGACAATTTAGTGTTTCGGACCCCTGTTCCTTTCATCCACATCTCCCTAGTCTACTGAAACATTCAGAACTACTCTGCCTTTTTCTTTCCAGCTCCTAATTATACTCCTAGATTTTACTAAGGCAGTTTAATATTTTATTTCTTCACAAGTTGTATAATCTCTTAGAAAGTTATATTCCATATTCCTGACAGATAGTGTATCATTATCCCTTCAGATTTAGCTGCATTTGTACTGCTAGGGTTATTACTAATCTTTTCTTTCTTTTTATTTTCCTTATCTCAAATTCTCAGCTCTAGTAAATCTGTGCTTTAACTATAATTTTTTAAAACTATTATCCTCAAATGATGAATGTGGGTGATAAACTCTCTGAATATTTGACTATTAACAAATATCTTTCTCTCTTCCAGGAGACTGGTATCTTGTCTGTCTAAAGAATGATTAGTTTATCATCCTATTTTCTCAGTAGTCTGAGTATTAATCCTTTGCTTTCTAGCAGATAAGAAGTTGGACACAAATGATTCTTATTCTTTGCAAGTGACTTGTTCTTTCTACCTGGAAGCTTGTAACGCTTCCTTATAATTTTGCAGTTCAAAAATTCAGATTGTGCCTTCACATAAATCTATTTCATCAACATTACTTGGAATTTGATGAGGCATTTTAATCTGCAAGCTTAAATATTTATTTAGCTTGGAGAAAATTTCTTTTACTATTTGATCATTTCATCTTTTCCATGTAGTCTTTTTTCCTTCTGCTAGAACTAATATTCTTCAAATGTTACATTAGTTGCCTGTACTATCCTTTACATCTCTCATCTTCACTCACATTTTCCATGTGTTAGTGCTTTTGTGTTGCTTTTTGTGGTATTTCTTCCTCTGGATCCTCTATTTGAGATTTCAAGTGTCCATACCCTAATATATCTGCAGAGTGTCTTTTATTGTGAAGATGTGTTTTATTTTCAGAAATATTTCCTATAAATGTTCTTCCTTAAAAGTTCTTCCTCAGAGGTTCTATTTAAATAAAGAACTATGCTAAATGTTTTGTTGCTCTTCTTTGAACAGACTGTTGGACCCTCAGGTGAATGATTACGTGTTTGTTCTTCTCACTATATCTCAGGTGCAGTTGCCATAGTACTGTCCTGGGTTGAGAAAATGGAATTGGAATGGAGATTTGTGTGCACTGTCTTTAATAGGGAGTGGTTTTTGGACTAACACCTATGGACAGTTGAAAGCCACCTTTGGTAGTACTTTTGAAAGCTGGCGAATATGTTCATCATTCCTGAGGGCAATCTGGACAGTGAACGAACATCACTATAATTTCAGGCAGCAGTGAACGTGATGGAGAGAACCAGTGTCTCTCCTGTTATAAGCCAATAGCAGCAGCAGCAGCAGATTATTAGACCCTATCACTGCTACCAGGAAAAATCCACTTTGGCTCCTTGGATTCTCTCAGCTTAAAAGCTAAAGAAGGCTTGGCTTCCTTTCCAATTTCTCAGAAAATTTTGAACAGAAACATGAGGCATAGTCGCATTAACTTATAGGGATTTCCAAATTATGGAAAGTCATGCTTATGCACAACCATGGATCCTAGATACAGTTCTTTGAACCCAGTCTACTGCCTGGCTAGGAAGGAAAGAGGGCTTCAAACTGTTGGCTTCATTCAGGGTTTGCCTGTTGTCCTCAAAAAAGACAGAAGGATTGGTTCTGTCTTTACAATATATCTACCTCACCTCCTCTAACTAGGGCCAAGCCATTATTGTTTCTCTCCTAGAGCCCAGTAATACCCTCTCAACTATTCTTCCTGCTTTCATACTTACCCATTTTAGTCTTAATATTGTAGCCAGAGTGATCTTTTTAAAATATAAGTCAGATTATGTCACTCCTCTAGTCAAAATTTTTTTCTATTTCACTTGTAGCAAGTCAGTCCTTAAAATAGCACAAGACTCAGTACAATCTCTACTAGTCACCTCTCTCTGCCCCCTCCACCACCCACATATATCTCTAACTTCATCTACTTTCTTCTCCTTAGTCTTTCATGGTTTTTCATTGGTGTTCTTTAGCTTTTAAGACTTTGCACTAGCTTTCTCTCTGCCTGGAATGTCATTCCATCAAATATTCACAATGGGAATTCCCTTATCTCTTTTGTCAAATGTCACTATCTCAGTGAGGCTTACCCTGAACACCCCCTCCTCCAATTTAAAATTAAAACTAGCCCCATTTTTATGCTACTGAATTCCCTTAACTTGCTTTAATTTTTCACCTTCTAACAAATGATGTAATTTATTTATTTACCATATTTATTTTAACTGTGGGCCTCTCTGCTGTAATTTAACAAGGTTACATCTTTTTCAATGATTGACTCATGCATCTAGAGGAGTGTCTGACCTCTGATACATAGTACAGGCTAAAATAAAAAGTGGCCACATGAATAAATAAATGTATGAATGAATGAATATGAAGAAGCTTAGACAATTTCAGCCTTCTCTCTTCCTATCACCTTTGATCCTTTATGGAAATTTTCTCTAATCTTCACAATAATCCTGCAATACTGACATTAATTTATCCATTCCACTGATTAAAAACCAAGGCTCAGCTAATGAGTGAAATATCCAAGATTCAAATTCAAATCTGTCTGGCTTCCAACCTTATGTATTTTTGTTTGTTTGTTTTTGTTTTCTTCCCCATGATCCAAAGCTCTTTCTAAATGGTAATGATTGAGAACTAATGAATGTAGAAAAGATGGTTCTAAGAATGACTGTTTCTCCTGTGTATAGTGGACAGCCTCTCCTCATGAAGGAGATTAATTCCTCAATTGGGGTGAGAAAGACAGGGACTTTCCTTTCATCTATAATATTTAAACTCCTCAATTCCTGTCCCTTCTCCTCACCTGGGAAACATTTATTATCCTGTCCTTTAAAATTGTGTGTACTGAAGAGACATTGGAGGAAACATTCTAAGTTCTTTGCCCTTCTAGAGTCATTCTCTATCATTCTCATCACATAGTCACTAGAAATCAGTATGGAACAGAATCATGGTGCTGTTGCAAAATTTACAATTAACAGTGTGAATTAACAATTAACAGTGCTAAATTTCTCTCATAAAACAGTGCAGCAAAATTACCAACTAAAAAATGTGTCAATATTTATTGCCTATGACAAGTTTGTCCTTCATTTAAAAAATTTTGCTTTCAATTCTTCCCCAAATTATCCTTTTTTTCACCATAAATCACATGTTTATATTATAGCTATCAAAGGAATTACATGTGATTTTGTTTAGGTACTTTTTTTTTTAGAAAAATGATTTTATTAAGGCATAATTGACACACTATAAACTGTACACATTTAAAGTGTGTAAATTGGTAGGTTTATGACATATGTGAATAGCTGTAAAACCATCAACATAAGCAAGATAATGACTATACCTATCACAAAAGTCTGCATTTACCCCTTTTCAGTCTTTTAGTTTCTTCCTGTCTCCCCTCATCTTCAATCGCTGAGTTATTTGTTGTCACTATAGATTAGTTTGCACTTTCTATAATTTAACATAAATGAAATTATATCCTATGTTGTCTTTTTCTTTTGGCTTTTTTTACTCAGCATATTTGAGAGCCATTTATGTTATTGCATATAAAGATGGGTAATTCTTTTTAATTGCCAACTAGTATTTCATTCTTTAGATGTACTACAATTTGTCTATCCATTCAATTATTGGTAGAATTTTTATTTTTCAGTTTTTGGCTATTACAAATAAAGCGGCTATGAGCATAATAAAGCATCTATGAACTATTCTTTGTTTGAATATATGCTTTTTTTTTTTAGGTAAATACCTAGGAATACAATGGTTGTATTACATGGTAGGTAAATATTTAAATTTTAAAGAATCTGCCAAACTGTTTTCCAATGTTGTGGTAATATTTTACATTCCTGTTAGTAGTGTATGAGGGTTTCTGTTGTTCCACCTTCTTGCCAACACTTGGTATGCCCAGTCTGTTTTAGTTTTAGCTTCTAATTCTTTGGCAGTTGTATATCATTGTGGCTTTAATTTGAACTTTTCTAATAACTAACAATACTGAGCACCTTTTCATGGGCTTAATTGCCATCCATATATCATTTTGGTGAAGTGATTGTTTCAAATGTTTTGCCTAATAATTTTATTTCGTGGTTTGCTTTCTTATTATTGAATTTTGGAAGTCCTTTATATATTCTGGATACAAGTCATCTACCAGACATGTTATTTGCAGATGCGTCCTGCCGTTCTGTAGCTTGTCTTTTCATACTTTATACAATCTCTTTAGAAAGCAAAAATTCTTAATTTTGATTAATCAAATTTATTATGTTTTTCTTTTCGTGGTCTGTGTTTTGATATTCTATGTAAAATATCTATCTTTAGTGCTTCTCAACTGGGGGCAATTTTCTCAATTCCCCCAGTTCACATTTGGCAAAGTCTGGAAACATTTTTGGTCATCACAATTAGTGTCAGTGGGGGGTTGCTACTGGCATGTAGGGTAGAGGCAAGAGAAAATGTTAAACATCCTGCAACACACAGAAAATGTCACCCCCTACATACATGCGTGTGCACACGCTCCCTCTCCGCCCCGTCCCACCCCATGCAAAAGAATTGTCTAGTCCCAAATGTCAATAGTGCCAAGGTTGAAAACTCTAATCACAAGGATTTGTGTTTTTTCTTCTAGAAGTTTTATAGCTTTTTATTTTACACTTGATATTTGGCATTTCATTTTCATTCAATTGAAAATACATTCTAAAATTCCCTTTACGATTTCCTCTTTCACATATGAGTTTTTATAAATGTGATATTCATATTTACAAATAAATATGTGGTTATGTGGGTATTTTCAGATATTCGAATATTTTCCACATATTTTCTCACTATTGATTTTTCTATTAATAATTTAACTGTCATCAAATAATGTATTTTTGTACTCTCCTCACTCTATTGTTGAGTATTCTAAAAATTTAAATAAGATCAGTTGGTTGTTCACCTTTTAGAAACTTCTACATCCTTACTTAATTTTTTATCTACTTTCTATCAGTCATGGAGAGAGTGGTATTAAAATCTCCAACTACATTTGTGGATTTGTATATTTCTGCTTAAAGTTCTATTAATTTTTGCTCCAGGTGTTTCGAAGCTCTATTGATAAGTGCATAAGCATTTAGGATTGTTAAAACCTCTCAATGAATTGACCCTGTTATTATAATGAAGTGGTACTTTTTATCCCTGGTAATATTTTTCCTCTGAATTCTCCTGTGTCTGATATTAATATAGACATTATATCTTTCCTTGGATTAGTGTTAAGATGCCATGCCCTTTTCCATCTTTTTGTTTTTAATATATTTGTTTATTTATACTTAAGGGTTTTTTTGTAGACCATATACAGTGTGTTCTTGCTTTTTTAAATTTACTCAATAATCTCTGCCTTTTTGAGTTTTTTGATCATTAATATTTAATATGATTATTGATATGATTGTATTTTAATCTGCCATCTTATTATTTGTTTTCTGTTTGTGCTGTTCTTTTTATGCCCTTTTCTCATTTCCCATCTTCTGTTGGGTTGAGTGCTTTTTTTACAATTTGATTTTCTATTTTTTTCATTAGTTTATTACTCTTGTTTTCTTGACTGTTGCTTTACTGTTTAATAGTATGCACATTTAATCTATTGTAGTCTACCCCAAATAAGATATCAATTTCTGTGTAGTATAAGAAACTTACAACAGGATGCCTCCATTTCCCCTTTAAACTTTTTGATCTTTTTATACTTTTTAATTCTACATATGTTATAACCCCAACTATACATTATCATTTTTGCTTTAAACAGTCAAATACCTTTTAAACATTTTAAACTATTTTTAAGTCCTTTTATTTACTCACATACTTACATTTCAGTTCTCATCATTCAGTTGCACAGATCCAATTTCCATATGGTATCATTTTCTCTGTCTGAAGGACTTGCTTCAACATATTTTTTGACTGATGGTAATAAAGTTGTTGTCAGTTATATGTCTAAAAACGTCTTTGTGTCTTTGCCTTCATTTTTGAAACATATTTTCTCTGAGCATAGAGTTGTAGATTGACAGTTTTTTTTCGTTGAACAACATCCGTAAAAAGATGTTGATCTAATGTCTTTTGGCTTGCATTGTTTCCAGTGAGAATTTTGCTGTCATCTTTATTTTTGTTCCTCTTAATGTAATGTGTCTTTTTTACTGTTTTTGAGATTTCCTCTTTATCACTGGTTTTAAACAATTTGATTATGATGTAGTTTGATGTAGTTTGCTTCATGTTTCTTATGCTTGAAAATTTGTTGAGAATCTTGGATTTGTGGGCTTACAATTTTCATCAAATTTAGAAAAGATTTAGTCATTATGTCTTCAAATAATTTTTGTTTTACTCCTTTCCTTTGAAGGCTCTGATTACATGTATATTAGACCACTTGAAATGTACTACAACTCACTGAAGTTGTGCTCTTTTTTTTTTTTTTAAGACTTTTCTCTGAGTGTTTCATTTTGGATAGTTCGTATTGTGTATTCAGGCACAAAAGTCTCTTTGTCTGCTATGTCTAATCTACTGGTAATTCTAAATCGGTATTTTAAATCTTAGATATTAAAGTTTTAAGATCTAGGATTCTGTCTTTTGTATTTTTAATATCGTTTTTATCTCTATTTAATGTGTTCAATCTTCTCTCTAGTTTCTTGTACACATGGAATACACTTATAATTCAGTTTTCAAGTTCTTGTCTGCTAATTCCATTATCTGAGTCATTTCTGGGTTGGTTTATATTGATTTATTTGTTTTCCTCATTATGAGTTATATTTTCATGCCTCCTTGCAGAACAGATTGGATGCCAGACATTATGTATTTTACCTTATTAGATGTTGGATATCTACCTATTCCTATAAATATTCTTGAACTCTTTTTCTGGGAAACGGTTACATCATTTAGAAACCATTTGGTCATTCGTCTCTTGCTTTTAAGGCTTTTTAGCCTTTATCAAAGCAACATTTATTCTAGGGTTAATTTTGCTCTACCAGTGATTTAAAACCTTTTTTAGCAGTCTAGCTAATTCACCATTAATTAGTAAAATTTCTACTCTGGATTTTGGTAAAAGTAACTATTCCTGGCTATGTGTTAACTCCTGGGTTTATTCCCTCTAATCCTTTTGGGTGGCTCTTTTCTTGGCCTTGGGTAGTTTCTTCACATGGATGTACTAATCAGTACTCAGCAGAGAACTTAAGTAGGCCAAGGCTCTAAAGCTTCTTTCTATGAAGCTCATTCCTGTCACATACCCAGCCCTGAAAACTCTAGCCACCTTTACCTCCCTGGACTCCCAACTCAGTTTGCTCATATCAGGGAGATCATTAAGTCCTTCCTGTGTTTCCTGTCCTGGCATCGAGGCCCAATGAGTCTTTCCAGGTAGTAAGATAGGGCAATTATCAGCCTCATCTCATTTGTTTCATGTCTCTCAAAGATCACTGTCTTTAATTAGGGGATCTCCAATGTCTTAAAAACCCATAATTTTTGTATGATTCTTAAAATTTTCTTTTCAGTCATGAAGTTACATCTTGTCCATATTACTTCATTTTAGCCAGAAGCAGAAGTGGGTTTACTACACGTGATTTTTCTCAAATACTTTAAATTCCAAAGGTAAATTCCAAACAATACTAGTAAACTACTTTTTAACCCTAAATATTGCCTTAATAATAAAGTTCAAAATTGATGTTTCTATTAAGAATACCTCCTTTCTTTTAGAAGAGCATTGTAGTTGGCTTTGACTACCATAGTAGTATAAAACCTGACAGTTCTTATTCACCCTCTGTAGTTGTCAGGATTAATTTACAAATGACATTGAATTTTGGGAGTTTTACTTTTATCTGAGGCTTCTATCAGAGGTGTACAAAAAGGAAAAAAAAGGAAAAATCTTCCATGCTGTATTGCTTCTCATTTTCAGCCTTGTAAGTTCATCAGCAATTTAAAGAATTTAATCAACACATTTTCAGTTTTCCTTCACCTTTTTATTGAATGAGAAACTGAAGCAAAACAGAGTTCCTCAGTCAAGAAGGAGCAGAGCTGGCATTCAAGCCTGTTATCCTATTTTTGTTTCTCAGTAAGATATCAGATTTCTATATTGTTTCACACTTGATTTTTTAGGACTTGAGGTCAAACTTTTACTAGATTCACTGATCAGTGTTAACTTATGTTAGCGCTAAGTAAAAGTATAAAAACGTCCTTATACAATTTCAGAATTTTAAGGTAATCCAACTAATTTTATTCAATTTATTTATTTTACAGGTGGAGACATAAAATTTAAATTGCTCTAAGCAAACTAGCTAGATAGGACTAAACTGACTATTACACAAATTATTTTTGATATTTTAAATAAAAATGTTATATGGCCAAATTAAAAACAAGCTATCATTTGGATAAAGAGATGTTTCTTTCTTTCTGCTACCTAATTTTTCTAAAATGGTTATTTGAAAAAATACCTTTGTCTCAATTTCATTCTTCCGACTTCTACTCCATTTAAACAAAATAATAGATTAGAAACATAAGTAAAGAGATTTGTATTATTTTTATCATTTTATCACCTATAAATAAACAATTCTGCTAATGCAAGAAAAAATAGAGTGGATACTCAATTAACTGCAATAATGAGGAAGTCATAGATAAAACATCATTAGAACTAAGTCCAGTCTTGCCACTCAAAAAAGTGTGATGCAAGAATCAGTTGCGTAGGTATTAGGTGGGAGCTTGTTAGAAACGCAGAATCTTAGGCCCAGCTCCAGATCTGCTTACTCGGAATTTGCATTCTAACAAAATCTCCGTGTGATTAGTGGGCACAGTAAAGTCTGAGAAGCATTGCTCATCCTGGTTTTGCAGCTGTGTCCTTCTTCTGTTCATTTATCTCCCCAGGAAAAAGCTTTATAATCTGGGTAATTATCCTTGATTAGCAACCCTTATAGGAGGTAGTAAAGGGGACATTAAAGCTTAAACTCCAAATTACTGACTGCAAACTGAGAAATATCACCTGCTTGATTCCTTAACACCCTCCCACTCCCTAGCCAGCTCTTTCAGAATATCTGAAACTAGTTAATTTTCTGAGCAATCAAGAGTTGTCTGTATCTAAGAATATTTTGTGATTTTATTTGTGCTTTCATGTTCTTCTTCCTCCTGTTTCTACAGATTTTTTTCCTTAAAAATCTTTCATTTAAAAATCTGTAGAACTTAAAGTTAATTAATATAATCAAAAAAGTTACAGACGTTGAACTATTTTACTATTTGTAGTTAAGTTCCTAAAGATTGTGAAATGAACCACATAAATTAGAATTTACTTGGATTGGAATTATACATGTTTCAGATATGATCAAAATCAACACTTCTGAAATAAAATCAAAGAGCAAATAAATGGTGTGCTTGAGAGATAATATAAAATGCTGAAATAATTTTGTGATGAACTTTGATCAGATAAATTCAAATATCAAATTATCCACATTATTATCTTACTGACAGAAAGCATAAATATAAAAAATATCTTATTGAGTTTCTATATGATCCACATACTAAGTGATGAAATCTATAAAGGCATGGTAGTTTGGTATAAGTATTAGAGTCATCAGTTCTAGACTGGTTTGTTCTCAATGAGAAGAAAAAGGCCTTCTCTGCATTGTGAATTTAAATATTTTGCTGTTCCACAAGACTGGGAGCTCTAACATGGTTCACAGGGACCAAAAATTAAGCTCAGCTCAGTGCCAGGAACAGATTACAATTCACATATTCCGTGGAATGACTGAAGAAATGTTGTCCGTGATATTTGACTAGTTACTGTCCTGCACTATTTGCAGACAGCACCATCTGTTATTATTGCTGACCTTCCATTTTTCATCCCAAACTTTCAACTACTAAAGTTACTAAAAAGATAGAAAATAAATAAACATATAGCACTATCTCTAAAGAGCTACACTGAAATACATATATTGGAGGTAGTTCTCTATCCCTCTATTGCAATAGCATTAAATTCTGGCTATACTTATTTTGGGAGGCCAAGGCAGGTGGATTGCCTGAGCTCAGGATTTCGAGATCAGCCTGGGCAACATGGTGAAACCCATCTCTACTAAAATACAAAACATTAGCCGGGTGTGGCGGCGTGCAACTGCAGTCCCAATTACTCAGGAGGCTGAGGCAAGAGAACTAATTGAACCTGGGAGGCGGAGGTTGCAGTGAGCAGAGATCGCACCACTGCACTCCAGCCTGGGTGACAGAGCAAGACTCCATCTCAAAAAAAAATAAAATAAAATTCTGGCTATATTTTACGATTGTTTGGAAACTCCAACTGTGCAATTGTTGGAACCTAAAAACATGTCTAGGCCTTATGCCAAAGTAGTTCTACCAAAATGTATATATTTATATGGTGTCATATATTTGATTATGCTTTATGTTCCTTGATCTCTAAATGGATGCAAACCAATCCATAAACTTCAAGCAAGCCAGCTTGCCAACACAAATCACAGGAATCAGTCAATGAGCAGGGATGTGATAATTATGTGGGCAAGTAGAGCTAGTCAGACATGGGAAGCTTGTACCTTGCTCTGGATTTTTTTCTGTTTGTTTTCCACATCTATTTTGTGTCCCACTCTGGGAGAGAAATATGTCATAGAGTAATTTAATGCTAGTAGCCTAGTGCTTAACAATTTAGTACTATATAGTGGTACCTAAGTTAATGTCGAGGCCTGTAAAAACGCAAATCACTAGCCCTGATATTCTCCACCTGCTCCCACAGCAGTCTCATATTTAGGCAGTTTTTTGCTTTCTGTAGTTTTGTGTTTATGTGGCTTTTTTTCTTATCTTCTGCTACCTCTCCTTTCTACCCCTAATTCTAATAGTATTGGTCCATCTTACTAACAGCAAATGAATTCCTTGAATCTCAACTGGAGTGGCGTAGTCCTCTTAGTGAAGTTCCATCTGTGACTTCAGAGGCTCCAATCTTACTTCACAGGGGCTTATTGGAGCATTTTGTTAAAACACGTGCTATGCAACTCCAAGGGATTGTATCAGTCCAGATAGCATAGGTTATGCTGCAGCAACGTATTAGTCTGTTTTCATGCTGCTGATAAAGACATACCTGAGAATGGGCAATTTACAAAAGAAAGAATTTTATTGGACTTACAGTTCCACATGGCCAGGGAGGCCTCACAATCACGGCAGAAGGTGAAAGGCAGGTCTCATATGGCAGCAGACAAGAAAAGAGAGCTTGTGCATGGAACCTCCCCTTTTTAAAACCATCAGATCTCGTGAGACGTATTCACTATCACGAGAACAGAAAGCATGGGAAAGACCTGCCCCCAAGATTCAATTACCTCCCACTGGGTCCCTCCCACAACATGCGGGAATTCAAGATGAGAGTTGGGTGGGGACACAGCCAAACCATAACAAGTAACAAATAATCCCTAAGTCTCAGAGGCTTAGTAACAAAAGTTTAGTCCTCACTCACCTTACATGTTCAATCCAGGTCAGCTATGATTCTAAGTATTTTTTACTTGAAGATTCAGGAAGATATTGCTGCTTCTAGCAGAAATGCTAATAGTCAATTTCTTTTTTTCCTTTTTCCTTGGAAAAAGGAAAGTAGAATGATAAACTCCATGTTGGCCTATGTGATATGCATCACTTAACCTCATGTCTCATTAGTTAATCAAGTCATGCAGGCACATATGGCATCAATACGTTAAGGAAGCTATGATTTCTCTTCTTCAAACAGAAAGGACAGTGAGTATTTATGCATAATAATACACTCTACCATAGAGGCATTGTGGCAAATAAAATTTTATCCACCTCATTATGTGTAATATTATTCTTTTTTGTTCTTGTTTATTCATATTTATTTCTTCATGAAACTGAGATTCCTTCAATCAAGAAAGTAATTTTATTAGTTTTGTTTCCTTAGCTCTTATTCCCTGACATATAGCAGGCATTTGACAACTGTTTACTGAATCAATTAAAGATAAACATTATTAAATCATAGCTATATCTAGAGCTTGCTGAACATTGATGTTTCTATAATAAAACCGTATGATTCTTAGGTACAAGCACTTCTAACATAAATAGCCATGCACTCAGATGATATCCTGATATTATCTGCCAAACACATATTATCGCCAGGTATGTGGCAGAGCCTATATCACAATCATTAAAGAAGCTCTCAAGAAGTTTGTTGGGAGAATAATAAAGTTTTGACTTCTGCCAAAAACATTCTGTGCACGAGTCTTACAATTTTATTTTAAAAAATGGTTGGAGGGAGTTTGTTTGCCTTGCCTTTTTTGTTAGTAAAATAAAGTGTGTCACAGGCCCAAAGGAATTTGAAATATTTCTGAAAAGACACTAAACTGTGTAGGACACCACAGATGAGGCTCCCTTTTGCCTTCTCAAAAATAAATGTGCACAGTTTATCTTCTTGTATGATTAATTACTGTAGACTTAATTATATAGAATAAATCTGTATCATGTAAGAGGGAAAAACATCTGAAATAATAAATGCTTTTAAAATGTTAGGTTATTTTATGATAACATTATCATCATAAAAACAATATTATTTTACCTTTTGAAATTCTATCCCAATACAGAAAGACAGGAATGATAAAGGTAATTTTCTATGAAATGGTGTGAGAGCTTATTAAACCAATACTGTTTTGCATTTCAGATAGTATTGTATAAAGAGATGAATCGATTTTTTAAAAAAAATTACAACAGACAAATATTAAATACTTATTTCCTATATGGATATAAATATTAATTAGGTAGAAGTGATATATGTTGAAATGAAAGAATTTGAATTAGTTATGTGAAATAAAATGCATGAGTAAAAGAGTGTCTTACATGGAGACATAAGTAAAGTCAAAGCCTTAATTAAACAAAAACAGAAAAAGGGGGCAGATCTCCCACCTGCTCAATGATGCCTGAAATTGAGCTGTGGGAACATAATTCCTTTCCCTTAAAGTGTAAATTTGTGTAAAAATGACTCTATAAAATAATAAAAATTATCTCTTTAAAATTGCAGATGACTCGAAAGGTAGAGACAGAATATCATCATACCCACACTCAGGTTTTCTAAAATATGGATGAATCATACTGGTGGGAACCTGATTAGTCAGAAACTAAGAAATCAGTACTACTACTTAAAAGCTGTCAGGCCAGGTGCCGTGGCTCATGCCCGTAATCCCAGCACTTTGGGAGGCCACTGCTGGAGGATCGCTTGAGCCCAAGAGGTTGAGAACAGCCTGGGCAACATGGGGAGACCCTGTCTGTACAAAAGACAAAAATTAGCTAGGTGTAGCGGTGCACACCTGTGGTCTGAGCTACTAGGAAGGCTGAGGTGGGAGGATCACTGGAACACCAGAGGTTGAGGCTGCAGTGAGCTGTGATTGTGCTGCTGCACTTTAGCCTGGGCAATAAGTGAGACCCTGTCTCAAAAAAAAAAAAAAAAAAATATATATATATATATATATGTGTGTGTGTGTGTGTGTGTGTGTATATGTATGTATATATATATATAATATATATATTTTAAAAAGCTGTCAATACCTTCTCAGTTTTGGAATGGACAGTGGGTCATCTTAAAGCACACCATACTTTTTTGGAGAAGAAGCACTTACATGTCTTTTTCTTAGTGATATGAATTTAGGATGATGATTTTGTAGTTGCTATTTTTTCCTTATAAAAGCTGTCTCTTTAATCTTCTTGTCAGGAAATGTTCAGTCTTCTGAAAAGAATAGAGAAAAATTAGCATAATACCTGAGGAGACTTGAAGGAAAACGGGTATAGAAATAATTGTCTTTTATGGTTGAGTTTTATTATAATCACTCTTATGGTTTGAGCTGGACCTTCCTTAAAAGGACAAAGGACACTAGACACTCCCCAAGGAAACTCATCATGATCACAGGGGTAGGAATCAGAGTCAAGAATGACAGGGGTAGGGAGAGCTGGGATGGCACCACATGTGACGAAGATTACATGCCACTTTGGATCTAGCAGCCATTGCAAGGAGAGTAGAGCTCACAATGTGATGAGTCACAACCTTAGGAGCCCACATGGAAAACACTGTTAGGAATAAGATAGTCGGATTTAGGAGTAGATGAGATTTCCTCCCTGGAAAGACCACATCAACCTGCTTCACAAATCTAGAGCAACAAGGAAATAGGAGAAAGTTGCACAGTGAGTGCTAAGCTGAGTTTCTTTTATGATTTTTACAAGTAGTAGTATCATTATAAAATATACATACAGGAAATTATGCAAAATAATTTAAGAAACATTTGAGTATCTCATAATTTTGACAAACATTAATGTTATGCCAGGCTTTCTTCAAATTCTTTCTTTTTAACCTTAAGATATATTTGAAATTTCTTCTTATACTCCTCCCTGGCCCCATTTCCTTCATTAATTGTTCTTTTTTTTTTTTTTCTTTCTGGTGTTAAACTAATTTCTTTGCTTTATTTTTTTCCTCCAGCTTTATTGATGTATAATTGGTATCTTCAAATTATATCTTCTGTTAACGAGAATTTGATATTTATTATTCTTATATATAACATATTCACTTTATTATATATATCTAAAAATAATGTATTTTATTTATTTTTAAATGGTGTAAAATGTATAAAAATGTATAAATGATATCAAATTGACATACTGATCTGTAACTTTTTTTTTCAAGATTTTTCTGGTGTTTTTGTTTGTTTGTTGTCATTGTTGTTTTTGAGATGGAGTCTGGAGTCTCGCTCTGTTACTCAGGCTGGAGTGCAGTGGCAATATTACAGATAACTGCAGTCTTGAACTCCTGAACCCAATCAGTCCTCCTGCTTTAGTCTCCTGAATAGCTGAGACTACAGGGGCATGCCATCCCTCCCAGCTATTTTTCTTTTTTTTCTATTTTTTATTTTTTTCTACAGTAAGAGGAAGGTCTGAGTATATTCCCCAGGCTGGTCTGGAACTTCTGGCCTCAGGCAATCCTCTCACTTCATCCACCCAAAATACTGGGATTACAGACATGAGTCACCACACCCAGTTTGCCCTTGTTGATAGGTGAAACTGTAAAATTTTCTGTTATATGACTATACTTATTTAGTTCTTTGTTGATGGACATTTAACATGTTTCTAAATTTTTCCCTTTAGGCGTATGAGCTGTTATAACATATGGGTGAGGAGGATGGACTCTGGGACCAGACTATCTGCTTTAAATCTGTTTCACCACTTATCAGCTCTATGAACATGGCAAATTTCTTCCTCTTTTGTATCTCAATTTCTTCATCTGTAAATGAGGATAAAATTAGGATCTACTTCAGAGGGTTATTGTGAAGCTGAAAAGAGTTACTATAGGTAAAACACTGTAGAATGGGTGCTACATAATAATATCGTACATATCATACAGTGATTTAAAAAATCATTCTCATACATATGTCTTATACAAAAAATGTGAGAATTTCTCTAGGATACATTCCTAGGAGTGAAAGTTTGACTCTTAGATCACGTACACCTCCAACTTATGAGATATTGCAAAATTTCTTTCCAGAGGAAATGTGTATTTCCTTCAGCAATGAATGAGGATAATTATTTCTTCACTTTCTTTCCAGTATGAAACATTTTTAAAAAATGTTTACCAGTTTGATGAATATGAAATCACATTTTATTGTGGTTTTATTTTTTATTTCTCTAATTACTAGAGATTGAGCAGCTTTTCATCTGCTTATTAGGTACTTGAGTTTCTCCTTTTGCAGTTTGCCTGTTCCTAGCCTTTTTGATGGTTGTTTTTGCTTTAATTAGATTTTCTCTTTCTTATTGATTTGTAGGTAACCTTCATATTTTCCAAATATTAGTAATGGTTAGACTTTCCTTTTCACATTTTATAAGGTCACTTTTAGTAGTAAAGTTTTAAATTCTAATGTAGTCAAAGTTACCCATCTTTTTTATTGGAGATTACACATTTTATGTTTGTTTAATAAATTCATTTGACCTGGAGTCCTAAATACAGGCCACTACCCTTACTTCCAGAAGGGATAAAAGTTGATTTTTATATTAAGATATTTACTCACTTGGAATTTATTTTTGTACATAAAATAACATAGAAAAATGAGATCATTTTGTTTCATATGAATTACTGATTTTTCTAGCACTATTTATAAAATAGTTCATCATTTTACTTTTGTTAAAATGCCAATGATCAAATACCTGTATTCTGTTTCATTAATCACTTGTCTATCCCTGCAATGTAGTATTTAAAATGGTATGGTTATAATGATAACCATTTTAAATACTAGAGCTTTAAAATAATTTTTTTGTGTGATTTGGCAATGTCTTGGTTTATCAGGATGTTATAACAAAACATCATAAACTGAGTGGCTTACAAGCAACAGAAATTTATTTCTCATTTTGGAGACCGGGAAGTTCAAGATCACAGGCACCAGCAGATTTCATTTCTGATGAGAGCTCATTTCCTCATTTATAGAATAGTGCTTTCTTGGCAGTATCCTCACACAGTGAAAGGGGTAAACAAGCTCCCTCACACTTCTTTTCTGAAGGCACTAATCCAATCACCTCCCAAAGGCCCCACTTCTTAACACTATCACCTTTGGGGTTAGAATTTCCACAAATGAATTTGGGGGAACACAACATTTTGGCCACAGCAGGTTAATATTCCTATTTTTCTATTCTTCTTGATTTTTTTTCACTTTTTTTGGCCGTTTTGTTCTGCAATATATGTTTTAAATCAACCCATCAAGCTCCCAGAAAAGCTCTGCCGAGATTTTAATTAGGAGTGCATTAAATTTGTAGATTAATTCAGGTTCAATAGAAGCCTTTCTAAGCCATTCGGATTTTATTCTGTTGGCTAAAGGTAACCAGTTCAGGATGATCATGATCTTATATGCATTTTAGAATGATGGCTCTTATAGAAAACTTGAAGTAGTGGAAGTCTGATGCAACTTGTTTTGTGGATCATGTTGACTGCCACCACAAAACAGGCAAAACTTCAAAGAAGTCTAATTTGTTCTTATTCCTCTCAGAAGCCTCTTCCTGAATTCTTCCTTACTTGCCTCTTCCTCACTCCTCAAACATCCGTATTATACATAGTTAATATTTATGGGTAAATATGGATAAATACAGGTAAAAATGATTACTATTTATGGAGCAAACACTGTGTTGAAATCACCTTGCAGGGTTAATGAGAATTCTGGAAAGAAATATAATTAAGCATTTATCAGGCTTCACTTTGACCCACTTCCTGTAACCAAAAGTCATGTAGCACTAGATACTGACATTTGCATTCCCTTTGTTTCTATAGATGGGATTTCTGACTTTAGAATCATAAGGTTTTTCTTTAATATAGGTAGGACTTCTGACATTAGAATCATATGTCTTTTGTTTAAGAATTGTTTAAGATGCTTTTCAGATTCCAAATTCCAGTGAAATAGCTGGTGCCAACTGGTTTAAAGACCCCCACCAAGAAACAGAATCAGCATACTACAGTTTCTTCATCTCCCTGTCCCATCACTTCACCCTGCACTCTTGGATCAATCAACAATCTCTATACATTTGCCCTCTAAAACCCTGAAAACCCCCCAGCCCCAAACTCCTCAGGAAGATGGATTTAAGGTTTCCTCCTGTCTCCTCATTTGGTGGCCCTATGATTAAACCTGTTTCTCTGTTGTATTGCGTATTTACTTGCCTTGTGCATCGGGCAACAGACCTGTTACAGTTACAGTGTTAAAATCTTTACATGAATTATTTCACCTACTTCCACCCATAAAGTAGACAGAACTAGATTTAGAGGTGAATCAGCCAGGTATGTGTAGATTATCAATCTTAAGAAGGGCACTCACAATGATTGGAAAAAAATGGGATTATGGTTTCAGTTAACTCAAATGTCCATACTCTTTCTCCACATGTTAGAGGAAAGGGGTCCTGATCCAGACCCCAAGAGAGGGGTCTTGGAACTCACACAAGAAAGAATTCAGGGTGAGTCCATAGAGTAAAGTGAAAATAAGTTTATTAAGAAAGTAAAGCAATGAAAGAATGGCTTCTTCATGGACAGAGCAGCCCCAAGGGTTGCTGGTTGCTCATTTTTATGGTTATTTCCTGATGATATGCTAAACATATCATCCCCTTTCTAGACCATATAGGGTAACTCCCCGTTAGTTGTAGGGTATGCCTCTCCTTTCTAGACCACATAGGGTAGCTTCCTGACATTGCTATGGCATTTGTAAACTGTCATGGCGCTGATGACAGTGTAGCAGTGAGGACGACCAGAGGTCACTCTTGTGGCCATCTTAGTTTTGGTGGTATAATGCTGGCTTCTTTACTGCAACCTGTTTATCAGTAAGGTCTTTATGACCTATGTCTTGTGCTGGCTTCCTATCTCATCCTGTAAGTTAGAATGCCTTAACCATCTGGGAATGCAGCCCAGTAGGTCTCAGCTTTATTTTACCCAGCTCCTATTTAAGATGGAGTTGCTCTGGTTCACATGCCTCTGAGATTTTCCCCATCCCTTTCTTTTATTTATTTATTTATTTATTTTTGAGATGGAGTTTAGCTCTTGTTGCCCAGGCTGGAGTATAATAGCAAGTTCTCAGCCCACTGCAACCTCCACCTCCCAGGTTCAAGGTTCAAGGCCTCAGCCTCCCAAGTAGCTGGGATTACAAGCACCTGCCACCGCACCCAGATAATTTTTGTATTTTTAGTAGAGATGGAGTTTCATCATGTTGGTCAGGCTGGTTTTGAACTCCTGACCTCAGGTGATCCTACCCCCTCAGCCTCCCAAACTCCTTGGATTACAGGCATGAGCCACCATGCCCCCATCCCCCACTCCCCCTACCCTCGCCACTTTTATAAGACAACTGTTAATCCTAAGGGTTGCAGAGGGACAAAGCTCCATCTTCTGTAACTACTTCAGGCTGAATAGGGGCAATCATATTCCTGCCTAACTATTAGGGTCTCTTATTTTCAGGGTAGAGGGGAGCTCAGTCAGAAAGCATTGGTATGGTGAGGGCCATTCATAACTCCCAGTTCAGACAAAAGATAATATCTGGAAGATTAATAAGTGTTCAATTTAAGAAAACATTCAGTAAGCTTGTCCTGCATTCCTACACAAAGAGTACAACAGCAGTATATTCCACAAGAGTAAACAAAATGAGTAAAATTATTCCAAGTAAACTAGATTAGAAGGCTTTCCATGAACTGAGCAACTGTTGGAACTAAGCTGATATGAGGTTGCTAGCTGATTCCAATATGCCCAAGATTAGAATATTGATCCAGATTTTTACATCACTTATCCCTCTTGTTTCTTCTGAATAGCATCCAGAAATCACTGGTTGGTTCACAGGAATAAGCAGGGTTAACCTAAATTGCAAAAACAAACTTAAAAACAACTCATGAGACTAGAATTTAATAACAAGTGTGTCATAGTTTTTGAAACATAATTCCTCTCTCCAGTTTCCCATTTTTACTAAAGACAAATCATGATAGGACAGATTTATTTTATTATACTTGGCCTAATTATTTGTAAAAGTGCAGGAAGAATAATTATTTCTTACATAAGCTTTTTTGAAATTGGCTTTGATGGAACTCTGTTCCTTAGAAGGAATCTTAGATGAGACTTTTTTTTAGCGCTGAGCCCTGCCATGGGGTTGTACCCTCAAATAACTATGAGTTGGGAAAATTCCTCTCCTCTTGGGGTACCAAGATAACCCAGGGCTCCTAGACCTGTTAGAAAGTGACATTCTTTACTTATCACAGGTCAGAAACCCTGTACAGGGATTGTGTAGGCAAGGTATGAGGCCAGTTCTCCAAAGGGCTTTTATTGGTTTTACAAGTGAAGTCTGATTCCTTAAAGGAAACCACACCATTCCAGTCAAAGCCTTGGTAAAATATCCAGTTTTTTTCAATTGTGTCCTGTTATCACAGCAAACAGATGCTTACTGCACTTATGCAAATAACTATATTGTCATAAATTAAGAACACTCACAAATAGTTTCCAAATTTTGGAGAAATCAGGTAGAGAGAAACAAATATGCTTCAAATTTTATTCACAGAAGTATACATTACTCAGTTGTTAAAAGCTGTAAATAGCTTAAAATAGAAGTTTCCATGACTCTGAAAAACAAAACAAAGGATCAGAAATGGATTTGTTTTGTTTGTTTTTGAGACCGAGTCTTGCTCTGTCACCCAGACTGGAGTGCAGTGGCATGATCTCGGCTCACTGCAAGCTCTGCCTCCTGGGTTCATGCCATTCCCCTGCCTCAGCTTCCCGAGTAGCTGGGACTACAGGTGCCTGCCACCATGCCTGGCTAATTTTTTTTTGTATTTTTAGTAGAGACAGGGTTTCACCGTGTTAGCCAGGATGGTCTCGATCTCCTGACCTCATGATCCGCCCGTCTTGGCCTCCTAAACTGCTAGGATTACAGGCGTGAGCCACCGCACCCGGCCAGGATCAGAAATGTTTAAAGCAAAATCACAAAGATTACTTCAGACTTATTTAGTTTATGCCATGCAGTTAACTACTGTTCTGTTTGATATTCATGAATATTTTAGCTCTCCCTGAGAATCCTTAATTTTTTTTCATTTATTCGGATGTCATAATCTCCAAAGTTACCAGAAACCTGCATTTAAGAACACCTGATAGAACTCTATAGTTGACTAAAAACTGCCTTCTAAAGAGGACCAAAACAAGACAACAATTGTCTGTGGCTGACAAAATGTTTTAGGGCAGCAACAGTCAAAGACACAATTGACAAGAAAATTTGGTTATCTCTGTATCATACAATGATTTTATGTAACAATTTTTAATACATACACTAAGTCATATCAAAATTATAGGAGTTTCCCATAATTTTGAAACATATACCAATAATGCATTTATACAAATACAGCTCAAAAAAAGCCAAACACCATTTCATATTTGACAATGATTCCTGTATAACTTTTATACCAAGTAAGCCAAATGCCACTGTTGCATTAGTGCATTATTGATGTCAAACCAAATTTTTAATAAAACCTTAGAGACAAATGTATTTAATCTTAATTAGTTTGACCATAAGGTAAGATTTTGATAAACTTTTTATAACCCTTTCCTTTACAAATTTTTGTTAAAGAGTGCATTATAAGCAAGTTTTTACTCTAAGAAAAACCGGTTGTGCTTTTATTTCAATGTATAATTTACAGAAAAACTGTATAATACCCCTTTAACTTTAGTCAATATGTTTACACACAGAATCTCTTTTACAATTAATTTTTCACAAACCTTCCACCATTTGCTTAAGCCTTCAGCTTTATACTAAATTAAAATAATCCTTTAACCCTTTAATGTAGGCAAGAAAAATTCACATTCCCATGCCTTCTTATAATCTTTTGCCAAAAGTACATTCTACTTTCCTTACACAACTTGCATGTAGAACTGTTTCTTCAGTAGTCTCAAATACATGGTATACTGTTAACCCTTGGTGACTTAACTATTGGTGAAAACCTTGGTAAGTTCAGGATTCTAATTATGCAGTAGGTGTGGGGCCTAGCCTAGGACACACCAGGCAGAAGTGCAGGTAAGGGCTGACTCCAGCATAGCTAGGGAGTGTGGCTAACTCCACATGTCCCCAGGCCTTATCTAGAATCTAATGTCTCTAAAGAAGGTAAATTGAACAATTTTCAAAAGTCAAAGAAGCAGTTTATGAACTTAAAGCATTAGGAAACTTACTATCTGACCTGCATAATTTAGAACAAATGTTTACATTTTACCAATAATCTTTAAAGCTGTTTTTATTTCCTAAAGATTACTAAAGTCACATGAACTAAATAAAAGGCATTATACTTTTTACTTTTCTGGCAAAATATTTTATTTAAGCTCTTATTATTTTTAAACCAATTAAAGCTCTTTTATATAACACACACAGCACGTATAAATACACAGACAGACAGAAGAAAAAGGACTCATCCTCTAAGCGGGAAATTGAACCCTGAACCTGGGATGCCTTTGTGATGGCAGAGACCAAGAGAAAGTACTGCCACTTGATTACAAGGTCAAGCTCCCAAGGACATACAAAAAAGAGGGAAACCTCATCCAGTATTTTTCAGTGACTTGCAGCAGAGTTTGTAACTGTCGGGTTTGCTGGGCTGTCTTGAAAAGTGGGCTTACAGGTGTCCTAAGCCTGTGTTCTATCCTAAGATTTCCTTCTCCATTATAGAACACACACAGAAAGACACACAAGGCACATCAAAATTGCTACAGCTTAGGACTAGCCTCATAAGTTCTTTTTTCCAATTAATTAAAACTTTGTAGGAGATAAACCGTTAATTTTACTGTTCAACCAGTTTGCACAGAGAAAAAGAGAGAGAGAGTAGGGGGGTGGGCGAAAGCGTTGCCTGAGGCAGGGTGGGGAAGGTGAGGCACTCAGGGAGTCCAAAAGGCTAAGTGCTCAGGGAGTCCAAAGTGGGGAGTCCAAAAGGTGAGGCGCTCCAGGAGTCCAAAGACCCACCCATTGCAACAACACTGAAAACTTCAGGTGGCTGCTGTTGTGAAGGGATTTTTTTCAGCAGTCCCATCACTCACAAGTTTCTCCTTTTGGGGGAGCAGAATATCCCATGATCCTGTACATGCCTAATCCTGTCACCTATAGCCATCAGCAAAGATTGCAAGGCAGATTGATCCAAAGAGAATAGCAGTTAACGTCCCAGAGTGCCAAACCCATTCTTAGCACAGAGGGACTTTACTGAGAGGGGCCTCTAACCCTCCTAAGTTGGGTCTCTAACCCAAGGTTGGTCAAGTTTCCTTGTCTTTTTTAAGAGGGGCCTTTAACCCACTCTGTCTTAAGAGAGACTCTAACTCCCCTACGTTGGGCCTCTAACACAAGCCCATCCTTTACCCTAGTATATGCACCTCGCTTACCCAAAGTCAGCCAATTGGTGCGTGCAAATGATTTTCCTTTGGGCCAGGGGTCTCTTCAGTATCGTCCCTTCTGTGATTCACCAGAAAGATGTTACCATACCCCACCATTTACCCAAAGTTAGACTTTGAGTCAGGAGTTTCCACACTGTGGTTGCTTCTGTGGTCGCCAGAGAGATGTTATAGTACTCCACCACTTACTGGGGATTTCCACACTGTAGTCCCTTCTGTGGTCACCAGAAAGATGTTACAGGAAAGGGGTCCTGATCCTCTCTTGGAACTGATCCTGAGTTCCAAGAACCCTCACTTGGAACTCACACAAGAAAGAATTAGGGGCAAGTCCATAGAGTGAAAGCAAGTTTATTAAGAAAGTAAAGGAATAAAAGAATGGCTCCTCCATAGACAGAGCAGCCCCAAGGGCTGCTGTTTGCTCATTTTTATGGTTATTTCCTGATGATATGCTAAACAAGGGGTGGATTATTCATGCTTCCCCTTTCTAGACCATATGGGGTAACTTTCTGACATTGCTATGGCATTTGTAAACTGTCATGGTGCTAGTGAGAGTGTAGCAGTGAGGACGACCAGAGGTCACTCTTGTGGCCATCTTAGTTTTGGTGGTGTAATGCCGGCTTCTTTACTGCAACCTGCTTATCAGCAAGGTCTTTATGACCTATGTCTTTTGCTGGCCTCCTATCTCATCCTGTAAGTTAGAATGCCTTAACCATCTGGGAATGCAGCCCAATAGGTCTCAGCCTCATTTTACCCAGCTCCTATTCAAGATGGAGTTGCTCTGGTTCACACGCCTCTGACACACACATCCTCATGTAGCTAGCAAAATGTAACGCCGACCTGCTCCTTCTAAATTGTAGACAAGTTGCTTAATTGGAAATAATAACAAAAACACATCTCACAATGCTGAACTTTATTAATTGAATATTTAAGTGATACAAAAATTACATATTACAGCTCTACTTTCTGCCACTAATTCTGAAAACAGCCAGCTGACAGTGACAGAAACTTAGCAATTGCAGGCAGCTGACATTCTGAAAACAAACAATGCATTTTGTAGTCTTTTTCCTTAGGGATAAAAAAATTTAACTCCTGTCATCCAAAAGACTACCAGATGGCTAAATAGTAGAAAGGGGGGTTTTATTGGTGATATCAATTTGCAAACTAGGGAGAGACAGTCTCTGATGTGAACTGAAGGTGCTCTCTCTTCGAAAAGGGAAAGGGCAGGTTGGCTTTTATGCCTCACAGGGTCTGTACATATATACATTTATATATACATATATATTTTGTATATATTACAAAATAGTCATATATATTAATCAGGTTTAGTGGAAAAGCTATACATGATATGAGGAGAGTTGAGCACATGCACAAATGGATAAATGTATAGGTAACATACATCCTGTGTTTACTTTGGGGTGGGATTTTAGCATTAAAATGAGGTAGAATTTGATTATTTACATCAGAAGGTGAACTATAGGACACAAAGACAGTTTGTGCGCAATTTTATAAGCTGGTCAAAACTGTCTTGAGGTCTGCAGTTGCTTATCAGGAGAGAATGTTTGTAAGGTCCTCTGCCCAGTCAGAGTTGTAGTGGCCTGGGTTCTAAATTAGTTAGGAAGGGTCTGACAATTGGCTGATAGCTCCTGTTGTTAAGGTGTTTAGCAAGAGTGTGGTCTTTCTTGTGGCCATAGAAATTTAGCAAGTTGCCACGCCAGCGGAGCCCTGAACCCTATTTCCTTAACTTTAGGGTCTGTCTTAGTTGGCAAAGAGATGTCTACTTTGGTCTCTCAGATCACATTCTATATTAATGTTCTAGTCTAGAAGTGAACAAAATTGAAAGACAATTTCAATAAGCTAGTAATGTGTTATTTTAATGCATGCAGTAAATCCAAATTTTTGAATTTGAACTTGAAGTGGCCCACAATGCTTACCCTATCCCAATTCAACAATTCAGTAAAGGCTAAATAAATATTTGAAGATTATCTGTTTAAATATGCATCAAATTATTAGCCTTTCTTCAGTATCCTCGTGTTCATCCGAACTCCATAGATTGTTACTAAGATTATATTTTATGCATTAATTATTTTAGTTCTTACAGTACCTCTTTCAGATAACAAAATAATTGATACTTAAGTGAAGCCAAGTCATTTGCTAACATCACACAGTTAGGAGGTTCCAATACCCGTGTATTAACTCAGGTATTAACTAGGTGACTTTTGTCACCTAGGTTGCCTCTACCACTACCCTCTGGGCCTCTTTTGATGTTCAAAATGACTGGTTCCACCTAATACTGGTTTCTCCTCTAATCCAATTTTCTACTTTCCTGAGAAAGTGTTCATTTCTTTGGTGATACTTAGACCACAACCATTGCCTACCAGTGTGTCCACTGGTAATCCCCTGAAGGGAAAAATTTCATCTATAGGAAAGAATGGAATATCTGATAGAGTCATAGATAAGGGACAGAAAGTTCTGGCATTGCTTCAGGCACAAAATCTACTTGCCTTTGAGATAAATTTTACCATCTCTTTGATTTGGTTCCCTGAGCCAGTAACACTCTTCCCATTCTTCCTTTTTAAAAGCTGGTTTAGATTATTGTCACTTGGGAATGAAAGACTCTAGAGAAATTCTAGAGAGTATAGAGGAATATGGATTCTGAATTCCGTAATTCTGTCATCAGACAGACCTGGGCTCAGAATCTAGTTCCCCAGCTTCCTGTCTATATGACATTGGCAAAGTAACCCTTCTTTTTATCATAGTTTTATTATTTTTTAAATAGAGTAATTCTTGGGGAATTATGAGGATTAAATGAGATAATGCAGACAAAATGTTTGACATACAGCAAGAGTTCACTAAACTTTAGATGTTATTAACTAATAAAGGCACTCAAAGTAAATTAGCAAACTCTAAAACCGTGAGTAGAAAATTTGAATTATGAATGCTAGGGATATCTTTGTACCTATAGTTACATAGGTAAATCCAGCCACTTAGCTATACTTACTAAGGTATAATCCCTCCTACAATTTTGTCTGCTCATTCTTCATTTTTTAACCTTCTAAATAAGATGACAAATTATTATTTTAGCAGGTGAAGAATTACATTTATATGATAGCAAAGAAATGACTTAGGATAAAGCTAATAGCATTTAGGAGAAAGCTGTTGAGTTTGCATAATATTATTTCAAATGATGTCATAAATGTTAAGAGGAAGGCATTGTATGATCTTAAAGATACTGTTGTTTTTAGACTCAGAAATAGAAAAAAAAAGAAGGTAAAACATAAAATAGTAAGTAGATACATGTGACAATTTGTAGACTTCTTGAGTTGTCACAACAATAATGGCATCATTTTCTATTTTATTTAAATACTAACTGTAAAAATTAAATTGCATTTTCTCAGAAAAAAATTTTGTTTTCAATTCTGTTCAATCCTAGGTGATAGTTCCTCCCTATACTTGAGGATAGGGTCTTTAAAATGCCCTCTGGTGAGCTGGGTGCAGTGGCTCATGCCTGTATTCTCAGCACTTTGGGAGGCCGAGGCAGATGGATCACCTGAGGTCGGAGTTTGAGACCGGACTGGCTGACATGGTGAAACTGCCTCTACTAAAAAACAAAACAAAACAAAAATTAGCTGGGTGTGGTGGCTCACGCCTGTAACCCGACGTACTTGGGAGGCTGAGGCAGGAGAATAGCTTGAACCCTGGAGGCAGAGGTTGCAGTAAGCTGAGATAACACCACTGCACTCCAGCCTGGGAGACAGAGTGAGACTCCGTCTCAAAAAATAAAAATAAAAAATAAATAAATACCTTCTGGTTAGAAGAATTTTGGTTAAGGATCTTCATACTCTTTTGAAAAATGTGCTAGAGACAAAAATCTGGAGTGACCTGTATGTACATATTCTGTGTATTTTTACCTCCATTAAAATAAAACAATATAGTTGGCACATAAAATACAGACAATAGCAACAATATTTTACATATCTTATATAGCAAAAATAGTAATCTGAATATTTATTTACTACTATCCCTTACTTTCTTAAAAATAATTTTTAGATTCTCAGTACTCTTTAATTTGAATGAGATGTTTGTAATAGTGTTTGACTTTGCTACAGATATGCATACTAAAATGTATTTTGTGAAAACAATAAAAGTACATTTTGTTTCATTTTCCTCCATCCAAATGTTTCATGGTTTTCTAGTGTTGCCTTAGAAAATGCTGAATTCTGCCTCCATATCCAAATAGGTTTTGATTAATTTCTTCCTTTTATACTAGCTGAGTCTTGCTTTCCTTAGTCTCATCTTATTTGTTTTGGTTCCTCTAAAAGGCATCTTACCTCCATCCTTGTTTGTTGGGAATAGGCCCCCCAAAACTGGCCATAAACAAAATCTCTGCAGCACTGTGACATGTTCATGATGGCCATGATGCCCACACTGGAAGGTTGTGCGTTTACCGGAATGAGGGCAAGGAACACCTGGCCCACCCAGGGCGGAAAACAGCTTAAAGGTGTTCTTAAACCACAAACAATAGCATGAGTGATCTATGCCTTAAGGACATGCTCCTGCTGCAGATAACTAGCCAAACCCATCACTTTATTTCGGCCCATCCCTTTATTTCCCGTAAGAAATGCTTTTAGTTAACCTATAATCTATAGAAACAGTGCTTATCACTGGCTTGCTGTCAGTAAATACGTGGGTAAATCTCTGTTCGAGGCTCTCAGCTCTGAAGGCTGTGAGACCCCTAATTTCCCACTCCACACCTCTATATTTCTGTGTGTGTATCTTTAATTCCTCTAGTACTGCTGGGTTAGGGTCTCCCTGACTGTCAGGCCTCTGAGCCCAAGCTAAGCCATCATATCCCCTGTGACCTGCACATATACATCCAGATGGCCTGAAGCAACTGAAGATACACAAAAGAAGTGAAAATAGCCTTAACTGATGACATTCCACCATTGTGATTTGTTTCTGCCCCACCCTAACTGATCAATGTACTTTGTAATCTCCCCCACCCTTAAGAAGGTTCTTTGTAATCTCCCCAACTCTTAAGAAGGTTCTTTGTAATTCTCCCCACCCTTGAGCATGTACTTTGTGAGATCCACCCCCTGCCCACAAAACATTGTTCCTAACTCCACTGCCTATCCCAAAACCTATAAGAACTAATGATAATCCCACCACCCTTTGCTGACTCCTTTTTCGGACTCAGCCCACCTGCACCCAGGTGAAATAAATAGCCTTGTTGCTCACACAAAACCTGTCTGGTGGTCTCTTCACATGGACACGTGAGACACCGACCGAGCTGGTTTTGGTCCTTATAGATACTACAATAATATAATTTTGAGGCCAAGGTTTGCTTTGTTTCACTTTTATTAATCTGTATCAAGCCTTTGTGGCAAAATCAGTACTTATTATGCATTATTTTACTACTTTTTCTTTTCCCAGGCCATAACTATCTTTTCCTAATAACTCTCCAAAAAGAGTAAACCATATTTTATATCTGGTTGTGAAATTCTTAAGGTATCTCTAAAGGTATACACAAGAAAAATTTTTTATGAGGAGAATTTATAAATAGGAAAAATTTTCTTCCTTTCCCCAGGGAAGGCCTCCTATAATTGTTAAAATTTCATCAATTCAATGTTAAATGGAGTGTTCAGAAAATAAATCAATGAGTTATAATCACTTGTAGTAGGATAATAATGTGTTAACTAATATATTTTACCAGTTACCCTACCTTTCTCTCAACAGCTAAGTATTCTGCTTTCATTGCTTCAGAAAAGGATAGAAAAAGTCAATTTGACTGAAAGTACATATCAACCACTTGGGGGGAAAAGAAACTTTGAAATAATAAAATTTTAAAAACATTACTTTTTCACCTTTGAGTCTCTGGACAAGATATGTGTTTCTATAACATAGCCTATAAATATCTATTGAGGATCAGCCATGTACAGAACACTATGCTAAGCAGAGAATAAGAGATGGATTAAGACATCATCATCATATTAATGATGTTTACTGAATGCCCACTAAGCTTCAGCCATTGCCATGCATTTTTACATGTGATATTTCATTTAATATTTACTGCCTGCTCCATTAAGACGTAGAAAAGATTAAATAAAAAATGTGTACGCCTAGTGCAATGAACTTGCAATGATTTATATATGGCTTGAGAAAATCAAAAAGTTTTCACAGAGGGGTTTGAAAGCAAAATCTTGGCGGAGTGGAGAGTGGTGACTTTGATGATAGGGTGTTGGATGAAGAAAAAGGTATAAGTAGGAAGAGGACAGAAAGCCAACACTGAAAAAAGCAAGGAACTAGAAAATGAAACAGTGATGCACAGCTAGAGAGAAGGTGAGGAATAGAGAGAAGTAAACCCGGAAACACTGGCTACACTTGATGATGGAGGGTCTCATATTCCAGTTTATGACTTGCAGGCATCTAGTGCATATTCTGCGTGGCTCGCTGTGCAAGGACTGGGGTGGCTTTCTTTTCCTTACATCTAATATAGAGACAGTGGAAACTAATATAGCAATTCTTCCATCCAGAAAAGTTCTCTTGTGCTCCACAGAGCATGCTTATAGGGTTCTTCTGTGTTCTGAGTGCTTAGTGGGTACGAGCTATGAACAGGAGCAAACTTTTTGAAAAGAGAAAAAAAGCCTTTGTTTCTTTAATAAATGAGTTTACAATTAGAAGATTATGTAAACTGTGTTTTTTTTTCTTTTTTCCATACTTTGTTTTTTTTGCAAGGGCTATTTTATTTTTTATGTATTTTTATATTTTGTAGATACAAGGTCTCACTAGGTTGCCCAGGCTGGTCTCAAACTCCTGGCCTCCAGCGATCCTCCTGCCTTAGCCTCACAAACTGCTGGGATTACAGGCAGTAGCCACAGTGCCTGGCCTCAATAATTTTTTTGAACTTTGTATATTTCACACATTATTGATTAAATTGTTTAACTTTTTCAATTTTGTTGCTTGTGTTCCAGAGATATTTAATTCCCTTTAAATGCCTATATGATGCTAAAATGGATAAAAGTGTTATACTGAATGCCAGAATGTAAAAATTTAGGAGTTTCTCCCATCATTTTTTTTCAGGTTATTTAAATTTAATTTACTTTTTTTTCCTGACTTCTTTTAATTAAGAAGAGGAGGAAAGGAGGGAATTTTCCATGAGTTTGAATCCTACAAATGCCACAAACAGCTTCTGAAGCTGAAGCCATGACAATGAACTTCCATGACACAAAGAAGATGAGGAATTGGAAGGGAACAGTGCAGGAGAAACACAGTGACATTGTGTCACAGTAGGTATTTATGCCTGCTATCCTCATCCGAGATAAGGTCAATAACTTCTGCTGGTGAAGCCCAAGTCTGCTGGGGGCTCACAGCAGTTCCATGACTGTGTCTGCCTGGTGCTAAGATACTGTGTGCCCGAGCCATGCTTCCACGAAGAAGCACTCCAAATCACACCACCTCGAGGATGAACACACCTTGCATGTTCCTGAACTCCCACAATCTCTACTTCACTATCTGAAGAGGCAATATTAATTTCTTCATTGAGCGGTGCATTGCCGGCAGATATTTTGTCACTTGCTAGGAATCCTGGATGCAAATGACCTGCCTCTGCATTCAGCTCCTCTAGAAGCCAGCTGGTCCTCCAGGTAGCTCCTGTGTCCTGGCCGCCTATAGAATTATTGTGCTCTTGAACTACTGCAGCCGCCGATAAATTGTACACAGTTACCACTTCCGGGTCAGAGCTGGTGTCAGACATATCATAATGAGCTACAACTGGAGGTCCATCTGGTATCTCTGCAGTGATTGTCTTGCTGCTCCCTGAAACCTCTTCATCATCATCTGATGAGCTCGTGCTTGTCACAAGTCAGGTCACTGTCACTGGTACTACTTACTGTCCTGCAGCAGGTTGTACTGCTTGCAGCAACCTCCCGTTCGTGCCTCAGTAGCCTGATCCTCTCCTTGTGCTTTTGGCTCCAATGACCTTTAACCCATTCTGTTTATCACTGGATTGCCAGTTTTTCTTGGCAGCCATAGTGGATGTTTCACTTTTAGATCGGGACCTCCTAGACTTGCGCCCAACTGTGGCACCAGACACTCCTGAAGGGTCTCCTTCTACCGCTGTTTCTGCCTGAGAGGGTTCATTCTCTTCTGCGGAAGACAACGTGTCTGAATCAGCCAGGTGATCACTAGAAGAAGGGCAAAGCATGCAGTGATTAGAGGAGTCACTCTCATAAACTTGGCCAGTTGTAGGCTTGTCACTCTCTGTGGATGCTGAGACTCAGAAGAGTCTCTTCTCAGCTCCATCAACAAGCAGGGCATTGAAGAAAGAACTGCAGAATCTGCTACACCGTCTTTCTGAACTTGAGATTCCAGTTCTACAGATTCATCTTCCTCCTTCGCTGTCTCTTGTTCAGATGTTTTTGGTGGGACTTCAGACTCAATGAGTTATTCGAGTTTTCCCACTGCCTCCTCTATCTTTGTTTCAGAATTTCAAGTTAAATCATGGAGCAGCCTCTAGGAAATGGTATCAAAGATGCAACAGGAAAGCAAACAAAAAAACTTGTAGGCCAAGCCTGGGAGATCAGAACTCAGAGGATTGGGTGCCACTTCCTTATTCTTACTTGGATCTAGAATTCAAATTTACATTGTCCACGTGGTCAAGAAACCCTGCGCTCTGCAGTGACTCCGTGCCTCCTGGCTCGCTCAGCGCACCCCATCAGGGCACACACCATCCCCCAAACTTAATTTGAATTTTAAATTAGTATTCTCCTTATTTCAGTTTTTGGCTTCTGTAAGAGAATACATCATAATTTATTGCTTCAGTCTGCAATTTGCCATATCTCCTAATGACATTCAGTAGTGAATTGTTAAAAAGAATCTGTGTATCTACATATTGATTATGATTATCTATCTATCTATTTATCACAATTCTGGAGGCTGTAAGTCTGAGATCAAGGCGGCATCAGGGTTGGTTTCTTCTGAAGTCTCTCTCCTTAGTTTATAGATGGCCATTTTCATTCTGTGTCTTCACGTTGTCTTTTTGCTGTGTGTGTCTGTGTCCTAATCACTTCTTATAAATACACCAGCCATATTGGATTAGGGCCTACATGAATCACCTCCATTTTACCTTAGAAACATCTTTAAAGACTATCTCCAAATATAGTCACATACTGAGGCACTGTGGGTTAGATTTCAACACATGAATTCTGAGGGAAGACATAATCCAGCTCCTAACACCACCAAAGTGTATAGTTTTATCCATTATGGAGTCTCATGTATTATGCTTTGTGAACTCTCTTTTTTTTTTCATTTTAATAAAGTTTCCATTTCTAGGATGCTTTGTGAGTTCTTGAGTAGGCACCATGCCTTGCATTATTTTGAGTCTCCCATTTTTGGGGGGTAGATACCGGTTTGGAAGATATGGGTCTTCCATCAAAGGAGACATTTGCATTGAAAAAATCAGATAAATGACAGACTAATTAATAATTTCTAATTGATTATTAATTAAAGTTAAGGAAATGTGTTTGAAAGATAGATCCCAATATATGAGTACATTACAAGAAAATTCAATAAGAAGCCGACTGAGTGTGAACAACATAGAGATATGGTCATCCTTGGAGAAGAGTTTTTTATTAGCATGAACATTGTATGTGTTTATATCTAGGAAAAAAAGAAAATGGACTTATTCTTATTAATACTAAGATATTTCTCAGACTAAATAAGACAATATAATGGTTGAGCCAAATTAATTGTGTTAGAACCTCAATCGATATTCCTTGATCATGTAGGATGTTGGAGATATGTGCATGACTCTAAAATGCTATCAGGTAGACTGCCTACTGGAAAAATTCCCAGTGGGCAACAATACTGGGGGAAAAGTAGGTTAGAGTAATGTAGTTGATAGTAATTTGATGGCAAGTTGTCTACCGTAGCCTAAAAAGAGTTTGAAAAGGAAATATAATAATAATAAATAATAATAACAAAATATTTAGATCAGATATTTAGATTCTAGAGTGAAGAGGTTTTACCAGTAGGCAGATTTCTGCATATGTAATTTTACTGAAGAAGTGGCTTTCAAACCTTTGACAATTTCTATTGGGACCAGGTAACGCATGTACACACACAGACACACACAAGGACACTATTTACCTTTCTCATGTATGATGCACTCTAACATTCTCCATTTTATTCAGTTTTGTCTCACTGCAGTCTATTTCATTACTGTTTCTGATACATTCTATGTATTTCATACCACACCGAGGCTGCACCCAGGAGCTTGAGAATCACTGCATTTGAAAGCCTTTTCTAACAAAGGGTATGAAGACTTGGAAAGGTGTATAAGTGTCCAGCATATGGTGTGCCATATCTGCCTCCCTGGAGATGCCCAATGTATATGAGACAGTCAGTGGAGGCTAAGAATCTGACTTCCAGAGAGGCATCATTACACTGAGATCCACAAAGCAGTGCGAAGGGTCAAAAATGAAAGGGAACTAGAACCAAGATAGAAAGGTTATCAGGGAAATGAAGCATTGTACAGAAGAGCTGGTGTTAGACAGCATGAAGAGGAGGATAACAAGTATAAGGAGTAACACTATCATATTGTTGTGTTTAGGAGAGTCAACCCTGATGTTAGACATGTTGTACTCAAATCTCACCTTTGATACTTACACATTTGTCACTTTGTATAAGCATCTAATCATTCTATGCCCCATTTAACAATCTATAAAATAGTATCTATGATTTATTGAGCACTTAACAAATGCAAGGCACTACAGAAAGTGCTTTCCTTTTGTTAACTCATTTAATATTGACACCACCTTAATGAGGTAGGCACAGATTTTATTCCTAGCATACTTGTATTTTAGAGTTGTTTTGAAGAGGATAAAATAACATGAAACAGTTCCCAGCACTACACATTCATGAAATCAAAACAGTGAGATGTAACGATTTTCTGATGTCCTGAACAAAAAATCAAAGGAAACCCATGAAATTACTAAGTGTCACGCAACTTAATATCTATGTCATGAGATAACTGCATTAGTTTGCTTATCTAGAAAGGGGCATGAAATATGATAAGTAAAGAGAAAGTGAGTTGATGGATATAAAACACTTATTGTTGGGAGACAATTCAGGGCCTTTCTGCATGTCTTGTATTAACTTTTGTTCTGGACTATCTTTTTAATGATGTTTGTATAGGAAACAGCCTTGGAAGACAGAGATAATGTCTCCCATCAGGGCAGAGGTCAGGAATATTGTCTTTATTAAGATGATATCGCCCTCTAGGACAAAGGTTAGGCAAGTTTGCTAGCAACCCTCTTTAAAACATTGGAGTTTTCTAAACTTGGTGTTCCTTAGTTGTGATACAAACCGACTCTATGAGCAGCACTTATGTGAGTATAATGTCCCTGGAGATCCCGGTAGGTAAAGAATAGATGCAGACTTGGGGCTCATGCTTCCTGCTCTGCTATAAATAATAAAGTCCTTCATCTGTGACCCTGAAGTCTATTCTTTTCTGCCAGCATCTATAAAACAATGGTAGGCTAACTGGTTAAAAAATAATACTCTCAGACTTTTCATAATTCTTGATACTTAGATAATGCCTGGCTATATAAAAAGTACACAATAAATGGAAACCTGTTGGCATTATGATATCTATCAATTTGACAATGCGTCAGATAATAAATTTAATAAAGCAACTATACAGTGCATGTCTGCTACATGCTAGTCATGATGTGAGGTGCTAAGGCTAAAAAGCTGAATAAGACAGATTCTCTGATTTCATACTCTGGAGGGGGAGATATTGGCACATAAATAATTATAACTTGTCTTAATATTATGGTAGAAATATTATAAGGACCTAGAGCATTAAGGAGGCGACATCTATCTCTGCCTAAAATGTGAGATGGAGAGGAGGTATGAGGGAAGTTGCTTAAGGGGAAGTAATACTTCAACTAAGTTTTAACAGCTGACAGTTAGTGTGAATTTGTTAGTCACATGTCAACTATAATTTGTTGTTTTAAAATTATTGGTGTCAGTTACCATTTATGGTAGGTTGAGTTGTGTCCCCAGAAACATGTTGAAGTCCCAATTCCTGGTACCTATGAAGATGACCCTATTTGGAAATAAGGTCTTTGCAGATGTACCTAAAATGTAATTTAAGATAAGCTTATGCTGAAACAGGGTGGGCCCTTAATCCAATATGACTGATGGTTTTATAAGAAGAGGAGAGACAATTATGAAGATATATGCATGGATATGTTCATTGCAATACTATTCACAATAGCAAAGACATGGAATCAACCCAAATACCCATCAATGATAGACTGGATAAAGAAAATGTGGCACATATACACCATGGAATACTATGCAGCCATAAAAAGGAACAAAATCATGTCCTTTGCCTGGACACGAATGGAGCTGGAAGCCATCATCCTCAGCAAACTAACGCAGGAGAAGAAAACCAAACACTGCACATTATCACTTATAAATGGGAGCTGAACAATGTGAACACATGGACACAGGGATGGGAATAACACACACTGGGGCCTGTTGGGGTGGCAGTAGGGGAGGGAGAGCATCAGGAAAAACAGCTAATATATGCTGGGCTTAATACCTAGGTGATAGGTTGATAGGTGCAGCAAACCACCATGGCACACGTTTACCTATGTAACAAACCTGTATATCCTGTATACGTATCCCAGAACTTAAAAAAATAAAAAAGAAGAAGAAATGCATGGAAACACAAAGACACACAGAAGGAAGATGGCACTGTGATCACAGAGGCAACAATTATACAAATGCAAATCAAAGAATCCCCAGGATTGCTGGCAAAGTCCAGAAGCAGGCAGAGAGATGGCATGCCTCTGCCAACACCTTGATTTTGGACTTTTAACCTCCAGAACTGAGAGATAAAATTTCTTTTGTTTTATGTCACCCAGTTTGTTACAGAAGCCCTAGGAAAAACATACCATTTCATTATTGTTTTCCATATACTTATCTTCAGACAAAAATAAGGAAAGGGCACTGTGGTCAAAAACAAAAGAAATATGAGAGAGAATAATAAATTAAAAAAACATAAATTGCTAAAAGTCACTGTATGGGGAGGAAAACGGCAGCTGATGAGGCTGGAAAGTAATAGATGGACCCTAGTGTAGTGTAATGAGTGTGGCTTTTGGATGTAACAGACCTGTGTTCAAATGCCAGCTTCTCTATTTACTAGATGTACGATCTCAGAAAATTTAACCACCCTCTCTAAATTTGGTATTATTGTCCGTAGAATAAGATAACAATTACTACTTTGAGGGGCTATTTGGAGAATTTGGGAAATGTGGATAAAGCTCATAGCAAGTATTTGATACATGCTAGTCAGTAGTAGCACTTTTAGATTTACATTAGGGAGATTCTTCTGACAGCTGTGTTGATGATGGAAATGGAGTGGGCCACTGCCGAAGTGTGGGTGGCTGGAGCATGGCTGGAAGAATAGATACCAATGAGGCAGTTTTTGCATCAGCCAAGATGAGAGATGTTAGAGGCCTGAGCTATATCAATGCCATAGTGGGGATACAAATGAGAAAATGAGTGAGAAAAGTGTTTCTTTGTTAAAATTAATTTGTCATTATTGACCAACTCAATGGAAGTCGTGATGAGACAGCAGTAGTCTTTAAACCAGCCACTCCTACCCATTCCTTCTAATTTATGAAAAAGAGAACTGATTTCAGGTGTTTTGTTTTGTTTTAATTCTTCCAGTTAAGGACTTCTATTCTCTCACTCAGAGAAGCAGGTTGATGTATGGAAACTATCTCTTAAGAAGGGCCTATGCTAAAATGTGGCTGGAGAAATTGATCAGAGTGAAGAAAAGACTTGGTCATTGCACATGAAGAATGGCAGAAAAATTGAAAGTCCTTTTTCACAGCTAAAAAGAAATCAAAATTAGGTATCATCAATTCAATATTAATTCAACTCACTATGAAAAAAACAGTAAGTTGGATTACTCAAATGTGGTGACATTGGGATTTGACTACATAAAGAATTGAATTAGAATCACCTTCAAATTTTACTCATACCATAGAGTTCTTGATTTCAGTTTAATAGAACTATACAAAAACATTATATTCTGCTTTTAGAAAACCACACAATACAAGGAACTCCCACCCAAGCCCTAAACCTAAACAAACAGAAACACAGGAAAACTGTGCTTGAAGTGGTAAGTTATTTCTGCAACAAAGAAAAGTAGCAGAAAATGTATTCCCTTGCAAAAATATTAAATAGATTTTAACAATTTATAGATTCAGACACGCATAATAAGAAATAGAATTTGAAATCCCTGTATAAATTTTATGAGTCAGAACATTTCCCTTTAGAAGCTTATATTTATCACATAAAAGTACCTTCACACACACAACCACCTACTCACCTGCCCAAACACACATGCATACACACTCATACTCATTCATATATTAAATATAGAAAACAAAGATTTGAGACAGAATAAATAGGTTTATATGTGTGACTGTTTGATAAGAAAATTAAACACTAGATGCTTGAAACGCCTGTAAGAAAAGAAAACTCTGAAATGACAAGTAGCAAAATTAATTTGTAACAACTAAACAATGAATGTGAAGTTTACCAGTTGGAAAGGACAGATTTCTAAGAACACAGAGAAGAAAGTCCTCTCCTAAAGGACTTTTCTTATTCCAAGGCTTATTGGAAAAACTCTCAGGTGAAATAAACATCATTACAATATGATAGATGACACTGGTTATCTTTTGGAATCAGAGATGTTAATGACCATTCTGTTGATTTTCATGTTCATGATACAGTCCTTATGAATACATGTAGCATAATTTCTAGGTACATGTGTTTTCAACCCCAACCATTCCAGTTTAGGAAATAGTCTTCAAATGTAGCTGAACAAAAACTGTATATGCAACAATTGTTTTCCTGGTGCCACCTGTGGATTTCTCTTCACATCTAGGATTCTTTTTATTGGATAGTGTTCGTGGCAACCAAACTTTGCCCTTTAAAGATGAATTTGACTTTTTAAACAACTGTGTCAATAAGATTCATGTCTGTTGAATAAGGTTAATGGTTAAGTACCAAAATTAAACAAGATTTTATTATAGAGCAAAAACGCGAAAACCAAAAATCCCAAACTCATTTATTTCTCATATTCATGTGGCTGATTCTGAAGATTTATCACTCAGGAGGCAGCATTAAGGTAATACATTTTGCACATCCAAATATAGATTACATTCAAAGCATATGAACAAAGAAAAATAATGTTTTGGAAATTGTGATAAATTTTCCTTAGAAAAAGATGTTTAAAAAATTGATATTTGGGAAACCTACCGTAATTTGTATATGATAGCATTCATCTTTTTCTTTTAGAAAAAGGGAAAATGTGTTTTTAGCTTCTGTACCTGATTATCACATTTGTATGTACTAGGAATGCTAAATATAAATTACAAGGGTCAATGGTTACTGTCCATTTGTCACTGAGGGTCAGTTGGCTTTGATCCCCTCCAGTCGATCTCTCCAGGGAGCCTGAGCCTTCACCCTCAGTTATTGTTGTGGCCCTGTGAGGACCATGCCCCACTCCATTCTTCATGGCTTCTTTCCAACATAATGAGTCTAAAATCATTATAGTAATAGAGATTAATTGGAATAGATTCCTTGAATATTTGCACTTGTGCTCTCTTGTAAGGGAAGGGTCTTCATCACACAGCAAGGGCTGGATTTTCTAAGGTAGCAGGGCTTTGTTCCCTAGTCATGATTGCTAACAGTATTACCAAGAATGATTCCACCTATTTTGGTTGGCTGATTTTAAATATAGGAAACAGTTGACAAGAGAGTTATGCAGTCTGGAGAACAGAGGCAAAACCTACAGTTCTAACTTTAGTTTTGTCTTAAATTTGACATTTCTGACTACTTTCCAGGATCAAGCTGAGTGATGGCAGAACACAGGCAAAACAACTCTGTGTGTTTCACTATGCTGAGCCTGGGTGTGGAGATAACACCAAGATGCAAGAGGGCCAGACAGTGGCTCATGTCTATAATCCCAGCTTTTTAGAAGGCTAAGATGGGAGCATCACTTGAGGCCAGGAGTTTGAGGCTAGCCAGGGCTACGTAGTCAGACCCTGTCTCCACAAAAAAAAAAAATAAAAAAATTAGCTGGGCATAGTAGCACATGCCTGTAGTCCCAGCTACTGGGGAGGCTGGAGAGGCAGGATCATTTGAGCTCAGGAGGTTGAGGCTGCAGTGATCTATGATTGCACCACTGTACTTCAGCCTGGGCAACAGAGTGAGATCCTGTCTCAAAAAAAAAAAAAAAAAGATGAAAGACATTTCATATGGACCAAGAAAAATGAGTGATGTTTAAATTTTCTAACTTTTGATTGATTGAGAATTTATGTATTTCTGTAAAACCAACATATGTATTAAGCTGGAGAACAGAAATAATTTACTCAATTGCTTTTTTATTGCATCATAAATCTATTCGATGAAAACTTACAATGTACTGTTTTGTTTTCAGTTCTTTGGAGAAAAGGCATATAGATTTTATTAACACATACACAGGGGAACCACAGAGTGTTTATCCCCTTACTGTTTTTTAATACATTATACTGTATTATTTTATCAAGAATTACCAATGAACATACAAAAATGGCTGTTTGGAGAATTGAAAGGAATTCTTTTGTGAGAATATAACTTAAATTCTAGACCCTCAAGCAAAACTTGAATTAAGTTTCTTATTTCTAGTATTTGATTTGTTGTTATAACTATTGTTGATAAGTGTAACAATAACCTGCCTATATACAATCATAGTGATTAACAATTTAACTATAAAGGCCGGGCGCATGGCTCACGCGTGTAATCCCAGCACTTTGGGAGGCTGAGGCGGGTGGATCACGAGGTCAGGAGATCAAGACCATCCTGGCTAACATGGTGAAACCCCATCTCTACTAAAAATACAAAAAAATTAGCCGGGTGTGGTGTAACAAAAAAATTAGCCGGGCAACTGTAATCCCAGCTACTCAGGAGGCTGAGGCAGGAGAATGGTGTGAACCTGGAAGGCGGAGCTTGCAGTGAGCCGAGATCACACCACTGCGCTCCAGCCTGGGCGACAGAATGAGACTGCGTCTCAAAAAAAAAAAAAAAAAAAAGAAAAAAAACAGAAACCAAAAAAACAATTTAACTATAAGTGCACAGTGGTATTATTATAAAGGTTAAGAGCTTGGATTTTAGAATCAAGTAGACTCATGTTCACATATGTTCTTTATACTCACCGTATGACAAAACACAATTATGTGACCTTCATAAGCCTTCGTTTTCTCACCTATATCTGCAACATTAAAACCTACTGAAATGGCTCCATTGTCTGGGGAAACACCCAGGGTCCTTTGTCTCGCACCAAGAAAATTAGTGACACTGACACACACATGGAGTGGATTAAGGAGCAGAAAGTTTAATATGCAAGAAGGAAGAGAACAGCTCCCTGGCACAGAGGGAGGAGGGCTCCAAACAGAATAACACACCTTGCGCAGGAGGACAGGTAGGGGGTTGGGGGGGCAGTAAGGGGCAGGGGGGAGCAGTTGGTTATATTGAGAGGCTTGAGGAGGTGGTGTCTGATTGCATAGAGCCCAAACAGGGCAAACGGGATTGATTTGACCAGGTGTGTCATTCACATAGCAAAAAGACTGGCCCTCCAAGCCTAACCTTTTATTATACAAATGAGGCTTCTACCTGGCTGTGCCATGACACCTGCACATGTGGGGACAAAGAAAAGGGAGCAGGAGGCTGGGCGCAGTAGCTCATGCCTGTAATCCCAGCACTTTGGTAGGCCGAGGTGGGCGGATCACCTGAGGTCAGGAGTTCGAGACCAGCCTGGCCAACATGGCAAAATCCCATCTCAACTAAAAATACAAAAATTAGCCGGGCGTGGTGGTGTGCACCTACAATTCCAGCTACTCAGGAGGCTGAGGCAGGAGAATCGCTTGAACCCAGGAGGTGGAGGTTGCAGTAAGCCAAGATTGCACCACTGCATTCCAGCCTGGGCGACAAGAGCGAAACTCTGAAAGAAAAAAAAAAAAGAAGAAGAAAGAAAGGAGGAGAGGGAAGGGGAGGGGAGGGGGGAGGGGAGGGGAGGGGAGGGGAGGGAAGGGAAGGGAAGGGAAGGGAGCAGGAATCACCACATTGGGTGGACCTGACTCTTGACAGCCTGCATTTACGTATGCAAGCCTGTGGCTTGCAAATCAATGCTTGCAAGTCTGTTTTTTTTCCAGCCGCTTTCTGTTAGAAATGTTTTTATTAAAAGAAAAAGCCTTACTGAGGACTCTTTGACTCTTTTACCCTTTCTAGCTGCCTGAAATAATATTTTTTTTTTTTTTTTTTGAGGCAGGGTCTTGCTCTGTCACCTAAGCTGCAGTGCAGTGGATCTCGGCTCACTGCAACCTCCACCTCCTGGGTTCAAGCAATTCTCCTGCCTCAGCCTCCTGAGTAGCTGGGATTACAGGTGCATGCCACCATCCCCAGCTAATTTTTGCATTTTTTTAGTAGAGACGGGGTTTCGCCACGTTGGCCAGGCTGGGGTCGAACTCCTGACCTCAGGTGATCTGACCATCTTGGTCTCCCAAAGTACTGGGATTACAGGCGTGAGCCACTGCGCCTGGTCAAATAATTTCTTAATAACTCCCGTAATACTACTTCATAGCTTGCTTTTACAATTAGATGAGATGTTAGTACCGTACTTGGCACAGCATCTGGAACATAGTTCTTCATAAATAAAAATGATTATTGTTTCTATGTTATTCTGTAGCCAACTAGTTACAGCAGATTTTTTATGCCATTGTACATTTTCTTTCAGTTTTCTATTTTTCCTTTTCATGTATCCTACTTTAGAGTTAGCATCTTATTTTTCTGAAATAAAAAATGTGTATTTCTTTTTACTTTGTTTATGTATTAACTGTGTATTAGCAATACCAATCAACTTTGACTGCCTGAAATTTGTTAAAATGATATTGTATTGCTAACAAAATGAGTGACTATTAAAAAAGGAAGAGTGATATGGGAATCACAGAAACACAGTCACAGTTAAAATCATGTATGGCAGAAATGGGCAAGAAGGACTTTGATGATAACACTTTTGAAGACTTGTACAGCTTTTACTTCTGATGTTGCTGGCACAGAATAGTAACATCATATTTGCTATTGTTGCCACAAACACCTATAGGAATTACGTGTTGGTCACATTCCACTTGAATGAAATCTCTTCAAATTATGTTTGAGTCTCTAGCTTCTGTGTAATATGCATCTTATTGGCTGAGACGTTAGAGGCCGGAAAAGCAACTGTGTATTATTTCAGGTCCGATAGTTTGGGGTAGGCTCTGCTCTCTAGCAAGACTCATATGATAGGGCATTTTCAAACTGCAGCAAAAATAATTCAAATGCTGGGTAGCCAAAAATTGACTAGTGCCCACTACAAACAATAAGTTTTAAAATGAGCTATACAAAGTTTTAAATTATGCTTAAAATAAGTTTTAAAGAAATTGATGACTGCCATGGATGGAGGAATATTTCAATTTAAATAATCCATCTCTACAATTTACTTTTTTAGGAGAAATCCGAATCAGAATATTTGTACCAAATTAGTTACAAGGAAATATTGATTATTAATTATGCCTGATAACATTATGAATACTGTAGCTATTAAATTAAAATCTTATTCAAATAGAAATTATACCGATTGTGTATAGTCCTGTTCTGACAATTGAAGCAGAGGAAAACTTCCTAACTCAGCCTATGAGGCCAGCATACCCTAATGCGTAAAACCAGACACACATTACAAGAAAAGAAAAAAACAGATAAATATCTCACATGAACATAGATGTAATAATCCTTAACACAGTATTAGCAAATCAAATCCAACCATGCGTAAAAAGCATAATAAACCACAACCAGGTGGGATTTATCTCAGATGTTCAAGATTGGTTCAACATTTGAAAAGCAATTAATGTAATCCATTAATACATTAATAGGCTAATGGAGAAAAATTACGTGATCATATCAATAGATGCGGAAAAAGGACTTGACAAAATCAAACTAATTCATATAAAAGCTCTCTGTAAACTAGTAATAGAGTTGAACTTTCTTAATTCAATAAAGAATATTTACCAAAAACATTATACTTAATGGTTATCATCCTAATTCATGGTGAGAAAGTCAATACTTTCCCACTAAGATCAGGAACAAGTCAAGGATGTCCCCTCTCACAATTGCTTTTTAGTTTCATTATGGCAGCTCTAACTTATGCAATAAGATAAAAATAAATAAAAGATATACAGATTGTAAAGAAAAAAAAAACTGCCTTTGTTCACAGATGTCATGAGTATGTAGAAAATCCAAAAGAATCAACCAAGAAATTTCTGGAACTAATAAGTGATTATAGCAAAATTGCAGAATACAAAGTTAATATACAAAAGTCCATTGCTTTCCTATACATGACTAATGAACAAGTAAAATTTGAAATTAAAAACACAATATCAATTATATTAGCACCTCTTACCCCCAAAAAGAAATACAGTCATCTCTTGGTATCTGTCCATGGGAGAATGGTTTCAGGTCCCTCTGTGGGTACCAAAATTCATGGATGCTCAAGTCCCTTATATAATCTACATATATTTTACCATATACTTTAAAACATCTCTAGATTATTTATAAGACATAGTATGATGTAAATGCTACTTAAATGGTTGTTATATTATTTACATTTTTAGTGTTTAATTACTCTTTTATGTATTTATTTTTTCTGACTAGTTTCCTTAGTTGTTTGAATCTGTGGATGCAGAATTGCAGATACAGGGAGCCAACTGTACTTAGGTATAAATCTAACAAAATATGTATATAATCTATACATGGAAATTATAAAACTTGGTGAAAGAAATCAAAGAACTAAGTAAATGGAGAGATATTCCATGTTTATGGCTACAGACTCAATATTGTCAAGATATTAGCTCTTCCCAACTCAATCTATAGGTTTAATGCCATCCCAACCAAAATTCTAGCAGGTTATTTTGTGGAAATTGACAACTAATTCTGAAATTTATATGGAGAGGAAAAAGATCAAGAATGGCCAACACAATATTGGAAAACAAAGTTGGAGGACAGATGCTACCCAAAATACCTTATGCCTTACTTTAAGGTTACAGTAATAAACACAGTCTAGAACCAGCTAAGTAACAGACAAACAGATCAATGGAACAGAATGAAAACTCAGAAAGACTCCCCAAAATATAATCAACTGTTCTTCAACCTTGGCGTTGCTGATGACTTTTAAGGTATAATACCAATGGCACTATCCATTTTTAAAAAATGGATAAGCTGGATTTCATTAAAATTAAAAACCCTGCACTGTCAAGAAAATCAAAAGATAAGCCTGGGACTGGGAGAAAAATATTTGCAAAAGACATTTCTGATAAAGGACTATTATCCAAAATATGTAAAGAACTCTTAAAACTCAACAAAAAGAAAACAACCCAATTAAAATATAGGTCAGAGTTTTTAACAGACTTATAGATGTATATACATTTGAAAAGATGCTCCACATTATGATATATCATCAGGAAATGTACATTAAAACAACACTGAGATATTACTACATACACGTTAAAATGGCCAAAATATGACAATAACAAATGCTGGCAAAGATGTGTAGCAACAGGAACTCTCATTCACTGCTGGTGCAAACGCAGAATTCTATAGACATTTTGATTTGACAGCTAGGCAATTTATTATTTAAAAAAATACTCTTACCATATGATTCAGCAATCACATTCCTTGGTATTTACCCACAAAAGCTGAAAATGTATGTCCACACAAAAACTTGCATATGGATCTTTATAGCAGCTATATTTGCAATTACTAAAACTTTAAAACAACCAAAATGTCCTTCAGTAGGTGAGTAGATAAACTGTGATATATCCAGTTTATAATGGAATATTATTCAATGCTATAAAAGAAATTAGCTATCGCCGGGCATGGTGGCTCATGCTTGTAATCCCAGCACTTTGGGAGGCCGAGGTGGGTAGATCATGAAGTCAGGAGTTCAAGACCAGCCTGGCCAACACAGTGAAACCCCATCTCTACTAAAAATACAAAAATTAGCTGGGCATGGTGCTGTGAGCCTGTAATCCCAGCTACTCAGGAGGCTGAAGCAGGAGAATCGCTTGAACCCGGGAGGCAGAGGTTGCAGTGAGCCGAGATGGTGCCATTGCACTCCAACCTGGCGACAGAGCTAGACTCCGTCTCAAAAAAAAAAAAGAAAGAAAAAGAAAAAGAAAACAGAAAAGAAATTAACTATTAAGCCATGAAAAGAAATAGAGGAAACTTAAATACATATTACTAAATGAAAGAAGCCAGTCTGTAAAGGCTACTTAATGTGTGATTCCAACTATATGACATTCTGGAAAAGGCAAAGCTATGCAAACTGTAAAAAGATCAATCATTGCTAGGGATTAAGGGGAAGAGAAGAATAAAAAAGTGAAACACAGAGGATTTTTAGGGAAGTTAAATTCCTCTGTATGATACTATAACAGTGTATACATGTCATAAATTTGTCCAAACCCATACAACACCAAGGGCAAACCTTGATGTAAACTATGAACTTTGGATGATAGTGAAATGCCAATGTAGTTTGATTAACTGTAACAATTGCACCACTTTGGTGAGAGATGTTGATAATAGGAGGTGAGGTGGGCTATTCATGTGTTGGACCAGCCTGTATATGAAAAATCTCTGTACCCTTTGCTTGATTTTGTTGTGGACCTAAAACTGCTCTAAAACATAAAATCTATTTTAAAAATCTAATTAAATGATTAAAATAATACATTTCCTTGAAGAAGTTTTGATTAATCAAGTTGTGCTGGTGAAAGGTTCATAAAAATAACAATAACGTCACATTTTTTGTCCTTCATTTATCATAATGCTTAAAGTTGGATGAAGTCTCTGAAAAGAGGAGCAATACTAACACTTAGAATTTATTTTGTTCTTTATGGTTGTGAAGATTTTTGCATCCATTTTTTTCTTCTGATTTATCAAGCTACATTCTGAGGCACAGGGAACAGGAGATAGTTTTTAGCATTTCTATTTCATAGACATAGAGCAGAAACCCACAATTTCTTCTTTTGGCTTGGAGTAAATTAATTTTCTTTTTGCTATTTTTACCTTTGGTTGAGGTCAGACAAAAGTTTAATTAATCTCAAAAATTTTCTTAACATCAGTCTATCCAGAGTGCTTAGAGAAAGCTGTAGGATATGAACTTATGTAAGTCAATTTATATTTGTTGACATCTCAGTTAAGAAGATGTATGGATGAGAGGAAAAATGAAGTTATTTTTAAAAATGAGCTTGAGTTTCATATTTTTAAGTGGCCCCCACCATCTTGCATTACCCTGGATCATTAGATATACATATGATTTTTTTCTTTTTATATTAGTGGAGTTGGGTTGGCTGAAGAGTACCATCTTCTAAGGTCTAGAATGCTCCTGACTAAACCTCAGAGAAGAGCAATGCAGATTTGATTGACTTTCACCTGTTATCTTTCCTACAATTACTTTGATACTCAACTATGGCTTGTATTTTGTTGACAGACATTCTAGAAAGCTTTGCTTTCTGTGCATTTGTTTAATCCACCATTTACTATATAGAAAACTCAAATGAACTTAAATAGTTTGAAGTGAAAAAAGCTACTGTATGGAGGAGTAAGTCCCTAAAGTGAAGACCTTGCTTTGAATGTCAATGATTGGATTTTCTGTTTCATTTTCCCTGTATCTCTCAGGATGAAACTTGAAACAGTTAGAACCATGAAGCAGAAGTATCATAAAAGACCATTTATTCTTCAAACTCAATTAACATTTACATTTTTAAAGAATTATCTGTTGTACTACCCTCACCTCAGTTTTCAATCTGTGTAATGGCATGGTCAGATAAATGTGGATGATGCTGTCTTTTTATGGATGAAACTCTGTATGTGTGCACGTGTGTATGTGTATGGTTTACAAGCCTTCTTATTTATGTTCTCTCAATCACTTGTCTGAATCCTAAAGTGTTGAGTTGCCACAGATTTCTTCTATTTAGTTGTTTTGTGCTGCCGTCCTTTAAGAAATAGGCTTTTTTTTCCCATTACGGAACAAACTGCCAATGACGTTGAGATATTGATCGAATGAAAGAACTATTAATATAACTTTTATCTTGGGATATCCAAAGGTCCTCTTCTTGGAAGATAAATAATTTAAACCACTTTCACTATTCTTTCAGAGTCAGCACTCTTCTTTTAAAAGGAAATTTTCCTATGACATTTTAGATTTTCATGTAATTTTTAGTGACCTTTGAAGTCGTTGCTTCTTTAAGTTAAATGAATAAATAGAATTAAGTATATTCTATATACATACACATCAACTTAATTGTGGGAACCATGGTGGTAGAGCTCTTTTCGGAGGATTGTTATAAAATATTTACACAGACCGGGTGCGGTGGCTCATGCCTGTAATTCCAGCACTTTGGAAGGCTGAGGCGGGTGGATCATTTGAGGTCAGGAGTTCAAGACCAGCCTGGCCAACATGGTGAAACCCCATCTCTACTAAAAATACAAAAAGTTATCCGGATGGTAGTGGCACGCGCCTGTAATCTCAGCTACTTGGGAGGCTGAGGCAGGAGAATCGCTTGAGCCTGAGAGGCAGGGTTGTGGTGAGCCGAGATCACGCCACTGCACTCCAGTTTGGTTGACAGAGTGAGACTCTATCTCCACAAAAAAAAAAAAAAAAAAAAGACAGATACTTCTTTAATAAAAAAAAAATTGAAAAGGGTTATTCTCAAATGAGAATATGTCTTAACTATTCAACACAAAGTAATTAGATCAAAAGATAGGGGCTCACCAAGAGTATGATGGGATTTTTTAATTTATTAGATGGCCAGGCTGACACAAATATATTAAAAATTGTAGGGTAGAGAATTTTGAATATAAAAGAGTCACACAACAGCCATTTTAGATTCCAGAGTTTAGCATTGAGCCCAGACATCCAGTTGTATAAAGTAGATGACATAAACAACTACAAAAACAACAACAAAATAGCAACTGGTACCCTTATTTGAAAAGCCAAACTGGAGAAATAGATAGGATTTTTTAAAAAATCACACTATGCTTACTTGCCTTGCCAAATTAAGTGATTGGAGGAAAACTATCAGGTCACACTGAAAGAGCAAATGCTAGTCTTACATAGATTTGTCCCTACTGCATTTTCTCTCATCTGGTATTTTTCATTCTTACTCAAAACTCATTTGTTGTGTTTTTGATGACAAAGTTTGCATCAGCATTTTTATTCTTAGAAGAGAAATTCTAAAAATAGTTTGTTGTTCCATAGTCTCAAATGTATAAACCAGGATATTTCCTTTCACTAAACAAGTGGGGGAGTGAGTGCAATTCATCGTATCAGTACATAATAATTAATAAGGTCTCTTAAGCCCCAGTGAAATATACTTGAAATAAACCCTAAAATTTAAAATACTTTAGAACTTTCCATCCTTTATTATTTTTAAAATCAGAAGTCAAAACTTGTCATTGAGTACCTAAAGTATGTACAAGGAACTGTGTCTGATCTCAAGTGCGGGCTTAGAGACATGGTTCTGTCACTCTAGGTAGGAAAATGGGATATGCAATTACTTCAAGTAAATAAATAATTAAATTATGACAAGTTTAATGTTTAAAACTAGATTTTTCAGGCCAGGTGCAGTGGCACATGCCTGTAAACCCAGCACTTTGGGAGGCCAAGGCGGGCAGATCACTAGGTCAGGAGCTCGAGACCAGCCTGACCAACATAGTGAAACCCCATCTCTAGTGAAAATACAAAAAAATTAGCCAGACGTGGTGGCATGCGCCTGTAATCCCAGCTACTCAGGAGGCTGAGGCAGGAGAATCGCTTGAACCCGGGAGGTGGAGGTTGCAGTGAGCCAAGATCACGCCACTGCACTCCAGCCTGGGCGACAGAGCGAGACTCCATCTCAAACAAACAAACAAACACCTAGATTTTCAGTAGACCACAGGAGTATAGAACAGGAAAACCCATCCTAGCCCCTGGCCTGGGAGTTCAGGAAGTGTTTTCCCCTTAGAAAGTGATGTTGAGTCATGAAGTGTAGCACCTACCTAGGAGTAGCACTTACTTACACAAGGAGAAAAGAGTGTTCTGGGCAGAAGTGTGTGCAAAGGCTTTGAGAGGACAAACAGTCCAATAGTAGTGAGTAAATGAGAAAAGCTCAGGAGAGCTGGCATGGAAAGAACATAGAGTGTCCTCTGAAAAGACTCAGTAACATGAAGCATTGCATTATGTAGGCCCTTGTAGATTATAGTAAGGACTTTGGAAGAGTCAGGTGAGAGAGGATTGACTATGCTGATGGTGGTGAAAATAAAGAGAAATAGACAACTGATACATTTGTAAGGCGGATCAACAGAAAGGGATTGGATGTGGATGACAGCAAGTATATGAGGAATTGGGAGGGGTCCAAACGATTCCAAGAGCAGTAGTTGATGGCGTCAGTATCAGAGACCAGGAAACCAGAGAAAAATCAAGTTTGCAGATGGAGATCAAAAGTTAAAAAGTTTGGATTTATTTATTTTTGTGTCTCTGAGACACATCAATTAAGTCATTAAATATAAGAATTTGTAGATTAAAATGGAGAAATAGATTTGAGAGTCCTCATCAACAATATAGTATATTAGTCAAGGTTTAGTTTAAGCTGATACAATGAAAAAAATTCCAAACACAATGGTTTAAACAAGACAGAAAACATTTCTATCTTCTTTGGCAATACAGAAGAAGGTGGTACAGGGCTGGCCAGGCAAGTCTGTTAATTTCAACTCAAGGTTTTATCTCTGGGCAAAGTTTTATTACAGTGGCTACTCCAGCCTGTGCCATCATGAATGGATTTCAGCCTAAATGAAAGGGAAATGAAGAGGTTGCTTCTTTCCTTTTAAGGATGTTGGAACCTAGACATGTCACTTACGCTCACTTAGCTTAGGCAAGAAAAGTACTCCCTGTGTTTAGTAACATAGAATTCCCTAGCAACCTAAGTTACAGCAGATTGAAGGGCATTTACTGTGAGCAGAAATGGCAAGCCTTTTTGAGAAAAATTGTCATGAAGATGTGGAGAGTGGGACAGAAGCTGGAGGATGATAAAGATGAAGAGAGAGGATTTTGATGTAATTAAGTTCTTATAATATAAATGATAAATGGATACATTATGAAGACATTGAGAAAAAGGGGATACTTGATGGTGGAGTAACTCTGTCTAGACAAGAATTCAGAGAATATTCAGAGAATATTTTCATCCTGCAGAATGATAGGAAAGGATGGAGACAGGTGCAAAAATATTTGTGGACTTGGTGGCAGAATTTTGATGTAGTTCCATTTGCTGTTTTCTATCTGTCATAAAAAGAAGGTAAGGCCGGGTGTGGTGGCTCATGCCTGTAATCCGAGCACTTTGGGAGGCCAAGGCAGGTGAATCACTTGAGGTCAGGAGTTTGAGATCAGCCTGGCCAAGATGGTGAAACCCCTTTTCTACCAAAATACAAAAAAATTAGCTGGGAGTGGTGGCGTGCACCTGCAGTTCCAGCTACTCTGGAGGCTGAGGAAGGAGAGTCACTTGAACACGGGAGGCGGAGTGAACCGAGATAGCGCCACTGCACTCCAGCCGACAAAGGAAGACTTCGTCTCAAAAAAAAAAAAAAAAAAAAAAGAGGAAGGTAAAGTTATCTGCTGCTGAAAATGACTGAAGAGATGGCACCAGTGCTCAGACTGCAGAGGAGAGCGGAGGGGATTTGAAAACATCATGGAAGGCAGGGCAGCCACGCACAGATGAGCAGGCTGTGCCCGCTGACCTCTAGGGGTTGCCATTCAAGCAAGTTTTCATGAGAACAGTGCTCCCTAGCATTCTAGGCTAAATAATCACAAGGTTCAGTGGAGGCATTGACATTTGCAGAGTGTACTAGTGGAAAACTGACTAGAGAGAGACTTACGTTACTGTGAAACCTAAGGGCCATTTGTAGTTGTCAGCCTGAATTTGTGATATATCAGCTAGTCTATCATTCATTAGTAATTAAATTGCATTCCTACTCTCCACTCTCTGAACCACATTTGACTTCTAAAACTTTATCATTTCATCAGTTATCTAATTTATTTTCAGCTGTTTATTTTGCTTATTCTATGTCATTTGATAAACTTGTTCAAGAAGATTCTACTTTTTCCTTAGCCAGTCTTAAGTTTCTTTCCCATTTTTCTTCACTTTTATTTATTTTTGTATTATACATTCATTTAAACCTTAGTTCCATTTTTTATGGAGAGATGGGAGTTTAGCTATGATGCCTAGGCTGGTCTCTAACTCCTGGCCTCAAGCAATCCTCCCACCTCAGCCTCCTAAAGTGAAGGGATTACAGGCATGAGCGGTTACACCCAAACTAAACCTTAGTTTCTTAAGGGAAGCAATATCTTAATCTTATGAACTTTTGTTCTCTCATGCTTTCCTTATGTATCTTTCTTCAGTTTTTAAATGCTCATTTATTTTAATGGCAATCCATCCTCTTTTATGCTATTTGGTTTATACAGTTATTGTTTTGTCTGTCTTATGCATTATATCTTTCAAAATCATCTCACTTTTAAATTTATGTTTAATGTATTAAATCAGGAAAATAGATGCAACAAAAGGGGCCAGCTCTGATTAATGATGGGTGCTATGAACAAAAAGATGAGAAATGTGGCACACATGCCCAGAATTCTTATTGACTTAGTTTATGATAAACAACAATAAAAATGTGCACCACTAACAACCAAATTGAGAGTTTGGTCCTCTGAAATATAATCCTGGTTTTACTTCTATCCAGGGACTCTGCAGTAACTTGAGTAGGGCAGAAGTTCTGCACAGCTTTTGAAGTCCAAGAAATGGAAACCAGTTGTTTTCAAAAGTGTAATAATTCTACTGCTTACTTTATTCTTACATCACAGTGGTTGTCCCTGATAAAAGGTTAGCAGGCAGTACCAAGACTTGCTAGCTCACAAAAAGTCAATTCAGATATCTGAGTTTAATGCACTTTATGAAATCCTCCATGTGGCTGATCTCTGACTATTCTTCTAGAAAAGCAATGTCCTTGTAGGGAGTATGACCTGATTACTAAAAATACTGACATTTATTATCCCTCTTTCCCATAACTCAATCAATAAGGGAACAGTGGAAATGCATGGTTCAGATAAATGTAGGTGCTCGCAGATTTGGTCTTTAAACTTTTAATCAAAATGTCAAGAATCCAAAATGTAAATAACTCAACATGTAAATGAGTCTTTCAGGCTCAATATAGTAATGGATTTGGTTATGGGAAAAAAAAAAAAAAACTCTAGTAGTAATAAACGTACTCCAACAGGTCTAGAAAATGGTTCTAAATGAAATAGTCTAATGAAGACTTTTTTTGTGTTAAGCCATTTCCTAGCATAAGCAAACGAACTCTAGATTTGATTTTTATGTAGATGAATACATCTTCATGAAAAATATGTGGACTTTATATGCAGTCCTGATATTGGTCTTTTTGTAGAGTTAAAAAGTGCTGTGTTAAGTAGAATCACAATTAGCTTCTTCATTTTCATAATTAAATATCAGCGATGATGAAGCATTCCTGATATTTAGAATAATAGATTTTATTCAGTCAATAACAAGGAAACAAGGAACTTTAGATATAATTTTCTTTTCTTTTTTTTTTTTTTTTTTTTTTTTAGAGACAAAATCTCACTTCGCCGCCCAGACTGGAGTGCAATGGTGCAGTAGTAACTCATTATAGCCTTGGACTCTTGGGCTCAAGCGATCTTCCCTCCTTAGCCTCCAGAGTAGCTAGGACTACAGGTGCACACCACCATGCCTGACTGATTTTTAATACAATTTCTGTAGAGACAATGTCTTGCTTTGTTGTTCAGGCTGTTCTTGAACTCCTGGCCACAAGCAATCCTTCTACTTCAGCCTCCCAGTGTGCTGGGATTATAGGCATGAGCCACCATATCTGGCCCATAATTTTCATATTAGCAATTAGCTACATTTACTAACCTGGCTGAGATAATTGAGCATCACTCAAGAAGCAATCTAAGATAGCAGTTTTCAAATTATGCCCCTGGAGAAGTCCAGGATTTCTCCAGAGATGCAAGTTTACATTTAGAAGCTTTCTAGGTGGGTGTGGAAACATCACTAACTCCTATCTTTTGCAAGAAAGAGAGCCCTGTTTTAATATCTTTCGACTACTTTCTCCTGCATAGCATTTATTTGGAGAACATGTTTCTCAAACAAAAATGAGGTTTACAAATCACTGCTATAAGGATCTTAGGAAATATTCTTTTCTGTAGATTCTTTGAACTCAGTCCCTGTATCATGTTAGATGAATAGGGAACACTCATTTAGCCATACACATAAATGTCTTACCAACCCCCTTCCCTAGATTTAAAGTTAGATTCTAATTACTGTTGACTAAGTAAAGTAATCCCTTCTGCCTTTCCACAGTTACTGATTTAGGGATGGTGATATGTCTCCCCCTGCCACCACTTGGAGAATAAGATAAAAAGGCAGCTTTATGAAGGTTTCTTGGAAGGGAAGTCAATCACTCTTCTGGAGGGTGAAAGAATCCAACTCTAGATGTCAACAAGAAAGCATCTCATCATAATTCCAACTGGCAGACGTTCTCAGAAAATGAAGACTGAATTTAGAATGCAGCCAGCATAAAGGATGATTGAACTAACAATGGAAAGAACTGAAGAACTTTATTACATTGTTGAGCTCTGGGTCAATAAACCATAAAGCCTGATCTCCCTGAAATTTCATTTACATTATATTATGTGTCCTATTGTTTAAGACAATTTGCATTTTTTCCATTACTTGCAACTAAAATCATCCTAACTGACACATATATTCCAGAGAAAAGAGAGTTTGTACAAAGGCACAGTGTTGAGAATAAGCTTGTCATATTTAGGGAACAGCAAGGATGCTACCATCGAGTTGTAAAAAAGTAAAGCAGGAGTTAAATGGTTCTGGGCACTAAAAAGAAAGGCTATGATTGCAAATATAAATGGCTTAAGGAGGTGGAAGCCCAGTTTAATGGAATTAAGGTGGTCAACGTGTCAAGACAATGCTGGCATTTTAGGTATAGAGAAATTTTGTTGCCTAGTTGAAAATTTTCAAGTGACCTTGGGAGCCTGATAAGGATGTAGGTTACTGGCAGAGCTGGGCAAGGAGTGAGTGATTGATATTGCCAAATGGCTTATGAGACACAAAACAAAAATAACTTGTTTTGGAAAAAGTTTAAGTAAAATGATTATTCCTGTTAAAGATTTATTTAAGTTGAGACAAAAAAATTGGAGACAGAGAATTTTTGTGAGAAGTTTGAGTTCATAGGGAAGCTTAGGAAACATGAAATTTGATTTCCAGAGAGCAGAGTGAAAAATGTTTTCAGGAAAGATAGGGCTTAGATAAGTCAAAGAAAAAGAGAAAAAGAGGGGAAAACCCCATCCAAATCTCTCGCTCTCTCTTCCTCTATGTATTCTAAATGTCCATATATTTAATGAAGAACAGATAGTCAGTGGGGAACACTAGCAGACATTAAAGGGATATGAGGCATGAAGAGAATAGCTGACTTTGGAATATTACGTAACATTGTCATTTCAGTGTAAGCTGAGGGTTTTGTTGTGCTCAGGGGCATAAAGATATTAGCAAACAGTTTTGTTTTTTTTCTTCTATACAGAAATATATGAGGAGATTGTTATGAAAAATCTGAAGAAATTCTTGTTCATCCTTGGTCAGCTGTGCTGTGGATGGGATTAGTTTCTAGAATCCTCTCCTAGTGGAAAAAAAAAAGTGTAGGAGCATAGTTGAGTGAACTCAAAATGGTTATGCTCCAAAAAAATAACTTATTGTTATAGATCCCAGAGAGAGTCTTCAGCCACACAGAAAGATTTGTGGCTTTGTTCTCTAAACGGAGCATACAATATTGTTTTTATGGGCAGACTATGTTCTTTTAAGACAGGTAAGATAACCAAAGAAGGAAAATAAGCTTTTCAAATAATTAGCAATCCTTAGACAAAACTTGTTTTCCTTTCTTGGTTATGTTACCTATTTGTTCAGTAGACAGAGGCTCTTAGTGTATGAACTAAGAGTAGACATTGTAAATAAATATTCTTTTTCTCTGTTAAAAAATGTGCACTTTAAAACTGCTTTAAAAACTTGCTTGTTTTTCTTTACAAAGATTATGAAACTACAAGGTCATATAAAAAAAGTCATGATTCAAAATTAGCTTATTGAGTGAAAAGAATGCATTTCATTAATACAACTAAGGAAGAATACAAACTGCTACAATCCAAAGAAGCACATTTTATAAAGGGAATTACATAAACAAATATTTTGGATAATGATACAAGACTTGGGGATACTAAATACTTCACCTACATTTTACAGAATTATTTTCTAAATAAACCAGATAAGTGACAGAATAAAGAAAAAACTTTCTATAATAAAGGTATTTCTGGAAAGCTTTTATTTCATTATATTCCAGCTTCTGTTTTTAATTATAATTATGTTGTTATCATTGGCTCAAATATCTTGCCTTTCCCTGTGAATCTATGAAATATATACCAATTTCTCACAGCTTAATTTTATTTTCTCTATGGGATTATCTGAAATCATTTCTGTTCTTAGTGGCTTCACATCTCCTAGAGGTTCTGCATCAATCAAGTTGTACTAAATTACGCCTTGCTTTGCTTAATATTTTTATTATTTATTTTTAGACAGGGTCTCTCTCTGTTGCTAGGCTGAGTGCAGTGGCAAAATCATGGCCTATTGCAGCCTCAACCTCCCTGGTTCAAGCGATCCTCCCACCTCAGCCTCCTGAGTAGCTGGGACTAAAGGAGCATGCCACCATGCCTGGCTAATTTTTTGTATTTTTGTAGAGACGCAGCTTCGCCATGTTGCCCAGGCTGGTCTCAATGTCCTGGGCTCAGGCAATCTGGCTGCTCTGGCCTCCCAAAGTGTTGGGAGTATAGGCATGAGCCACTGTGCCCAGCACCTGCTTAATATTTGTATAACTTAAACCTACCAACCTATTAACATTTTTTAAAACTGTAAATGTGTTGTGGACAGAAACCTTTCCTTAGTCATGTTGTGCTTCTTTATTTAATTTTATAGGGAAATAATGATAATTTGGAAATTTGCCTCTAAAGATTCTTATAAGGATTGAATGTGATGATCTGTGTAAAGCATTTACCATAGTGACTCTCACCAAGAAAGACTAACAAATGTTACTAGTGATAATGAAAACAATATAATGAAACAAACTTAAACTTTTAAAATTATATAATAATCATCTAAACTTTGGGGAATTGTTAATATGTAATTTTTATGATATATATGCATATAATAATGCAACTCTAAAAATTGGTAACACTCAAATTGCATGTGCACTCATTAAATTATTTGGGGTTTGCCATTGATTTTTTACTGAGCAATGCTATTTAACAATTATACATACAATAGCTCAAATAAAGTCAGCCTACATTTCTTCAGAAGCAGTGGGTAGGAATGACCCAGAATTATTCATTGTTGATACTTTCGTTTATATCATATTGCTGTCCTTGATTCAAACTTGAAAGCAGTTTAGGATACTATTTTCGCCCACAGTGGCAAATGCCTCTGATTTCTGCTAAGTGATTCTCTGATCAAATCAGTGTGAGTAGAGTCAATTTAGCTGGGTTAATGGGATTTGGCTTCTCAGGATAAGTAGCTATTTCAGTGCCTATGCACATTTATCTTCTTTCACAGTGGTTAACAGGCCCCTAATAGAATGACAGATTTCCAGGGGTCACCCTATAAAAATATTTGGATTTCTTAACAAAAAAAAAATGTTATATAGGTAAATTGATAGTAATTCATTAGTATAACATGCTTAATAAATTATAAGTGTTTAAAAACTTATGGAGAGCTTCCTTTAGGTGAATATTATTTAAAGCAATAGTATATAAATATGAGTTCTTAAAATATTAATAATCACGTAGGGAAGTTAGGCCCATTGAATCTATTTGTGAAGTAAAGTTTCAGTGAGAGTGTTTAGGAAAATAAAATAAGTGAAATAAGATTTGGAATACAGTAGTCTCCCCTTATCCATGGTTTATCTTTCCACAGTCCAAAAATATTACAGTAATTTGAGACATCATATTTATACAACTTTTATTACCGTATATTATTATAATTGTTCTATTTTATTGTTAGTGATTGTTTTAATCTCTTACCGTGCCTAACTTATGAATTAAACTTTATCATAGATATGTAAGTAGAGACATATCTCAGAGATATTGTGAGTTTGGTTCGAAAGTATCACAATAAAGCAAATAGAGTAATATAGTGAGTCACACCTTTTTTTGGTGAAGTAGTCTCCTTCTGGATGACTTTCAGGTAGTCTCTTTCTGTCTCTTTGTCTCAGACTTAAAAATACTTTTACTTTGCTTTTTGGCATGAATCGCTTAATCAGTCTTCCTGTTACTCTGAACTTTTGCTTTTTTCCAACTCTGCCTCATTATTTTATTCATTAATTTCACCTTTACAGACTTCCTGCTATCTGTTAGCTTTGCTCCAAGCATTGGAATTCTAGAGATACAAGGCAGTCACTGGCTTCATGGAGATCTTCTTGTCTTAATTTCACTGTAATATTTAATTCAAGTCAATTAAGTAAAAATTTACTAGCATTTCCTATGTTTTAATCATCCTGAGGAAAAGAAAGATGGAGAACTGTCTCCGATCTTAAGAAATTCATAATCAGATTAGAGAGAGCAATATTTACAAACATAGGAAAGTGTATTAAATGTTGAGATAAATGTTTTTTTAACTTGTTATGGGAGTTTTGAGAAAAGATCTGATTTTATACCATTGAGAACAAGGTAGAGAAAGAGGAAGGCTTATTACTACATTTGACATAAATGGTTCATTTCCTCAATGTGTGCACATCCAAAAGAGACCCATTGCCTTGTTGTCGTTTTACTGGTGTAATTTCCCCTGAGAAATTTAACTAAAGTTTTCATTTTTTATATTTCTTTATAGTTGGAAGGCCTAGCAGTCCTAGATGAAAGACAGTGGTGATATATGTTGAGGAGTGAAGGAAGTTGGAGAAATGGGCACCTGGGGAAGAAGCATTAAGTGTTGATTAATTTAGTCCAACAAATGTATTGAACACAAACTATGCCAAGCACTGTTGTAGGTTTTGCACATGCAGCAGTACACGAAGCAAACCAAAATCTACCCTAATGGAAGTTGTATTCCTAGTGAATAGGATACTTAAGAAATAAATAAATATGCAAAAAGCATAGTATGCCAAATGATGAGGGCTATACAAATATATAAAAGATTTTAAAAATATTTTTATATCTCACAGAAAAGAGAGGGGGATTTTTAGAGTAGACCTACTTTACATAGAATAGTTAAGAAAGTCCTCACTTACAGGGTGACGTTTGCACAGAAACTTGACCATGGCAAGGGAGTGAGCTGTGAGAGTATCTGGAGGAAGAACATCACAACTGAGAAGTACAATGCCCCTGAGGTACAAGAGACAACAAGGAGGTATTCCAGGGTACAGTGATCAAGGAAAAGAGAATTTTAAAAATGAGATTTACAGAGAGAGCAGAGAGTCAAATCTTGTAATAACAGAAATGACTGTGGGCTGTTCAAAGAGTAGGGAGAGAGAATAACTATGGTTAATAGGGAATGAGTCATTAACTCGTGGTCAACATACCGAAGATCCACATGCAAGTTTAGGTAGCAGACCAGGAATTCACCCTTTCCAAGGACAGGAATTCAGTCTAGGGAATGTTTAATCTGATTTTCCTATTTTTAGAAAGTAAAATGGGCAGAAAGGACTTGAATTTGGAGTCGAGAAGTTTGTTTCTTGTTTCTGCTCTGCCCCTAACTAGCTATCTAGGGCTAATAAATTTTAAATCTCTGGGTTTCCTTTTTGTTTCTCCTTTGAAATGAAGAGATGTTTTCTATATGTTATGTAAGCTTTAAATATTCAATTCAAGGCTAAGTGGTGAGTCCAACCTAGTGCTACAAATACTTACTATTTTTAGAGGGCCCAGAAAGCCAGGTTTATTCTTATTTTTTAAACTTTTGGGGAATCCTATAAAATAACAGTTTTTTCTGTTCATTTCTTTGTTTCTGAGAGAAGGCCTATTCCTCTGGCTAGTTTTCCAGCTTGACTTCTGAGCTCAACAAGGTAGAAGACAGAACAGTGAATCTGGAGGCATTCTCTGAGATCTTTGCACACAACGGTTCATCATCCTCTGTAAAGGGCATATGCACATAATTTCTGCGGGCAAAAGCTTAACTTTTTAAATAGAAAACAAATAAATAGTTACTTAATTTCTCCATTTTAACATATTAATATAGTTTATGATCTACATTTCAGAATATTTTATTTTTTTAGATAGGATCTTGCTATGTTGCCCAGGCTTGAGTGCAGTGGCTCTTCATAGGCACAATCATAGCTCACTGCAGCCTGAACTCCTGTGCTCAAGTGATCCTCCCACCTCTGCCTCCCAAGTAGCTGGCCTACAGGAGTGTGTTGCCACTCTTGACTACATTTCAGAAATTTAGAAACCATGTTCACATATGAGTTAATGTATAGCTTGGTCTGGGTTTTCAATGTTAAGTTCAAGAAGGACTTTTTTCTTTCTTATTTTCAACTACAATTTTATGCATAATTTATCACTGAATAATCTAAGTCCTGAAGTAAAAATATTATATTATGTAGATGACTCATAAGATAGAAGATACTGCTCTAATTTTACTTAGTTATCCTTTTTGACCTATGAAAACTGGATTATTCTCAAGGCCTTATTGATGCCATTGTGGTCATAGGTTCCAGTGCCTGAGATTCAACCAATGAGTTAAATACCTAAGCTACAATGACATCCTTTTAAAGGGGCCACAATGTAAGGCAGAAAATACAATATCAATTACTTATTGAAACTCACCATCTTGATAGCAAAAGAATCCCAGAGCATACCTCTTGCTGACCCTGAGGGTGAAGGACAGCATTGAGGAAGCATCTAGAAGGGTGAAGAGTGAACATACTGACTATCACTTCAACACCTCATTGAAGAGTCAGTGTTGGTAGGTTGGTTTTTCCACCAGATCATACTAGAGTTATTCTTTCCTTCCCCTTTAAAAATTTCTATACCACTGTGAAAGGAAAATATCTTGGGCCCCCAAAAATCACTAAGGAAGACTCAAGCTGGAAACTGCTTAGGGCAAACCTGCTTCCCATTCTATTCAAAGTTATCCCTCTGCTCACTGAGACAGATCATATTTGATTGCCTCCATTGGAAAGGCTAATCAGAAACTCAAAAGAATGCAATCATTATATCTCACCTATCTAAGTGACCTAGAAGCTCCCTCCTTGGAATCTTCAAGTCTTCCTGCCTTTGCTTCAAGTTGTCCTGCCTTTCCGGACCAAACCAATGTACTGCTTACATATATTGATTGATGTCTCATGTCTTCCTAAAATGCATAAAACCAATCTGTACCCCAACCACCTCGGGCAAATTTTGTTAGGACTTCCTAAGGCTGTGTCACAGGCAAGTCCTCAACCTCGACAAAATAAACTTTCTAAATTAACTGAGACCTGTCTCAGATTTTCTGGGTTCACATCACTATCTAGAAACCCTTCTTTACATAATACAGCTTCTTGAAACTAAAAAATTAATATATACATTAGCTTTTGCTAATAAGAAATAAGTGAATGGAAAATAAAGAGAATATGTGGATGATATGATTAGCCTTTGTGTCCCTACTCAAATTTCATCTTGAATTGTAATCCCCATAATCCCCACGTGTCAAGGGAGAGACCAGGTAGGAGTAATTGAATCATGGGGGTGGTTTCCCCCATGCTGTTCTCCTGATAGTGAATGAGTTCTCATGAGATGTGATGGTTTTATAAGGGGCTCTTCCCCCTTTGCTCAGCTCTTCTCCTTCTTGCCGCCTTGTGAAGAAGGTGCCTTGTTTCCTCTTCACCTTCCAAAATGATTTTAAGTTTCCTGAGGTCTCCCCAGCCATGCTGAACTATGAGTCAGTTAAACCTATTTCCTTTATAAATTACCCAGTCTTGGGCAGTTCTTCATAGCAGTGTGAAAACAAACTAATATAGTGGATGAAAATATGAGATACAAATTGGCAATATTTGTTGATTGATTAAAAATGAAAGATCCAGGGAAGAGGGAAATTAGCAATGATGCCAGATATAAGTGGCTTAGAAGGTGTAGGTGACAATAAATTGAAAATTGAGGAAAAAGCTACTTAGGGAATAAGAGAATATTACAGCAATGCTCTAATTCAAGGAAGAACAAAGCAATGCTAAGTTAAACTTAAAATAATTTTTTTTAAGAATTAAGAGTTATTCAAATAAATGTTTAGTGGTCAATCTTTTTATGTCTTTAATGAATTATTTGATTTTTTTTTTGTAGTGAGACTTAGCTGTATCAGTTTTCATAGTTAGCATAAATGTAATTGCTTCTAAACTGGGTGAAGCATGCATGAGCACTTTGGTCTGATTTGGGTAACTATAGCCTAGGAACAAAAGGTGAAGCCTTGGTAAGAAAAAAGCTAATAAGAAGGCAAGAAGCAGAACACAGGGAATAAAAAATATTGTCTTCAGTTTGAATGCAACATTGCATCATTTGTTGCTTATTTTGTACTCTGTTCTGCCTGTTGAACAGTTACCAAATTTATTCTGTCTTTGTTCCCTTGGTAATCTAAGGGATTGTGTCATTTGACATTGCTCCAGTAACAGTGATTTCTGGAAGTGGATATATCATTTGTAAAGAATCTGGAAGCTATGCAATGGAAGATATTACAAAAGGTATGTTCTCCTGAGGTGTTGAAGCCAGAACAACTCCCACACCTACTTTATGTGAATCTCATTCCTTTTTACCTGAACTATATCACCTCGAAAGAAAAAGAAATAGCTTATGAATGAATTGCTGCAGAGACTGTTGTGAAAAAAACTCCCATGGGAATGGATGTGCTTTCTTTCTGGAAGCGTGGTTCCTGACCTAAACTCTTCTTACTAGACTGCTATGAAAGTGTAACATAAGTGTCTGAATGTCAGTTAAAACTAAGAAATCTTGCTACTGAGCATTGCAGAACCAAAGTAGGAAAATATATTTTTTCTATGCTTCTCCTACTGCTCCTTCAATAAGCAATATTTTCTTTTTAGTTTTAAAGCTGCTATTGTTTGTATCATTTGATCCTTTAAAGGGGTTAACATGTCAAATTAGTCAGAGGAAACTAATTCTTTCTCTGTATTTGTTACCAGATTGGTTATAACGAAAATGCATTAGCATCTAAAAGTTGTCAAAATCATAAAAAAAAAGATCTAGCAACTAAATTATTTGATGTTAGTGCATAAGTTTCAATTAATCACATTTTTCACTTTCTGACATGCTAACATAAAAGATCATGAAAAGCCATTATTTTATTTTATTTTATTATGTTTTTTAATTCTTATTCCCTCTCTAATTCCAAGCCTAACCATAATACCTCTGTAATGTCTTAAAAATACATGTATGCATGTATGTGTGCATGTGCATATGTGGAAAGAGAGAAAGAGAAAGATATATATCTTATATACTTTATATATATGTAAGTTTTGGATCAGGTGGCTTATTTTTTAACAATGTGATCCAAGGTTGGGGGCGGTAGCTCACGCCTGTAATCCCAGCACTTTGGGAGGCCGAGGCGGGTGGATCACAAGGTCAGGAGATTGAGACCAGCCTGGTCAACATGGTGAGACCCCGTCTCTACTAAAAATACACACACAAAAAAAATAAGCCAGGCGTGGTGGTGTGCACCTGTAATCCCAGCTACTCAGGAGGCTGAGGCAGGAGAATTGCTTGAACCCAGGAGGTGGAGGTTGCAGTGAGGTTAGATTGTGCCACTGCACTCCAGCCTGCAACAGAGTGAGATTCTGTCTCAAAAAAAAAAAAATCAAAATTTATAAGATTTAACTAAAGCAGTGCTTAGAAGAAAACTTATAGCTGTAAACATCTATATTTAAAAAGAAGAAAAAACTCAAATCAGTAACTCAAACTTCCACTTTAAAACACCGAGAAAAGGAGCAAATTAAACCTAAAGGAAGCAGAAGAAAATAATAAAGATTAGAGCAGAAATAAATGACATAGAGTATAGAAAAACAATAAAAGGAAATAAAATCAAAAGTTGGTTATTTGAAAATATAACACAATTGACAGACCTTTATCTAGATACCAAGAAACAAACAAAAAACTCAAATTACTAAACTCAAGAATTGTAGAAGTTTAAGAACATTGTAGGATACAAGATCCATACACAGAAATCAATTGTATTTCTATACACTAGCAATGAACAATCTAAAAAAAACTTACATAAATAATTCCATTTATAGCATCATCAAGAAATAAAATATTTATGAATATATCTTTTTAAAAAAAGTTCAATAGACCAGGCACAGTGGCTCATGCAGGTAATCCCAGCACTTTGGGAGTCCAACATGGAAGGATCACTTGAGCCCAGGAATTTGAGACCAGCCTGGGTAGCATGATGAGACCCCGTCTCTATAAAAAAAATTTTTTTAAATTAGCCCAGCATTATGGAGAGCACCTGTAGTCCCAGCAACTTGAGAAGCTAAGACAGAAGAATTAGTTGAGCCCAGGAAATGGAGACCATAGTGAGCCATGATCATGCCACTGCACTCCAGCCTGGGTGAAAGGGTGAGATCCTGTCCCAATAAATAAATAAATAAATAAATAAATAAATAAATAAATAAATAAATAAGAAGTACAAGACTTTTATACTGAAAACTATAAAATATAACTTAAAAATTAAAAACAAATAAATGAATGGAAGACAATATTGTTTAAGACATCAATACTCTCTAAACTGATATATAGTTCAGTGCTATCCATATTTAATCTGTATCTATATCCAAGCTGTTTTTTTCCAGATATTGACAAACTGACCTTAAAATTCAAATAAAAATATGCAAGAGACTCTTTTCTTTTTTTTTTGAGTTGGAGTCTCACTCTATCACCCAGGCTGGAGTGCAGTGGTGCAATCTCAGCTCACTGCAACCTCCGTCTCCTAGGTTCAGGCAATTCTCCTGCCTCAGCCTCCCGAGCAGCTGGGATTACAGGCACCCACCACCACATCTAGCTAATTTTTGCATTTTTTAGTAGAGACAGGGTATCACCATGTTGGCCAGGCTGGACTTGAACTCCTGACCTCAGGTGATCTGCTTGCCTCGGCCTCCTAAAGTGCTGGGATTTCAGGAGTGACCCACAGTATCCGGCTGCAAGAAACTCTTAATAGACAAAGCAACTTTGAGAAAGGAGAACAAAATTAGAGGATTCCCACACCTAATTTCAAATCTTCCTACAAAGTGACAGTAATTAAGACAATGTAGTAATGGCATAAAAATAAGCATATAGATCAGTGCAATAAAATTTTAAATCAAGAAAGCAACCCTCACATTTGTGATTATTTCATTTTCATTCAATGAGAGAAAATAGCCTTTTCAGTAAATGGTGTTGGAAATCAATAAATTGATGAATGGATGGCTGAGCAATATGTATCATAGCCATACAATGGAATGCTATTCAGCAATAAAAAAGAATGAAGTACCAATATATAGCATGAATGAACCTTGAAAACAAAATATAGAGTCAAAGAATCAATAACAAAATGCCACATATTATATGACTCCATCTACATGAAATATATAGAATAGGCAAATTCATAGAGACAGGACTTAGATTGCTGCCAGGGCCTAGGGTGAATATATTTGTTAGAGTGAGCTGACCTTAAGCAACTGTAGGCCCTATTTAGGTAGCTTTTCTAAGTGGTAGGTCTTGAATTCCACAAGATATGCTGTCAGGATGGGACGATGAATAAAGTAAGGGAGAGCAAGGATAAACTGCAACCCACAACATAAGCTGGATCCATGAAGATGGTCTGAAGCCTGTGTCAGCTCTTCTTGCCCTTGACTTGGGTTGTATGGATAATCTGCAGGGGAAGGTCATGCCTTTTGTCATGGAGCTAAAAACACACATCATTCCTAATACATGCAGAAGCAGGAGGATAGAGGGGAAGGTGAATCAGTTGCACGGCTGCCCCACAACAATGAGGTGAGTCAGCAGGTAAGCTATATTAAGCATAAACTGTACAGTGGAAGCCCTTTCAGTTCCACCCACCAAATCTTAAACAAGAATTTCTCTTGTGGCCCAACCTTAGTGGAAAAATACAGGGAAGCAAATTTTGGGAAACAGTTCAGCCTAACCAAGTTGAAACATGATATAACCACCAAAGACACCTTTTAAAAATAAGAGAAAGGGGAATAGAGTGGGAAGATGTTAAAACAGTCTACCAAACCATAATAATAATACCACCAATAAAAGTCATGTAACATTAACAATAGTCCTGAGACTATAATATAACAATATATCATGATGGAATATAATAAAGAACTCAGAACAGAAGCATGCATATTTAGGAACTTGGTGTATGATATACATGACATCACAAACAAGCAGTAGAAAGATGGATTATTTATAGATGGTGTTGGGGAAACCACTTTGGTATATAAAGAAATGAGAAATTGAAACTAAGTCCTAGAAAATTCCAAATGAATAACTATATATGAAAGGTAAATGTGCAAGACTATCATTTTTACTTTGGTGTGTAAGCTTTGTATATTATCTACCAATTCAAATTTACTCATTGTATGAATTGTCTTGTACATCTGTGGTTATTTTCTTCAAGACGAGTCATAGTTTTCAAATAAATCATGACTGTGTTAATATAACAAATTCCTTATGAGAAATCATGAATTATCATTAGTGTATTAGTCTGTTCTCACTCTGTGAAAAAGACATACCAGAGACTGGGTAATTTATAAAGAAAAGGAGGTTTAATGGACTCACAGTTTCACGTGGCTGGGGAGGCCTCACAATCATGGCAGAAGGCAAAGAAGGAGCAAAGCCATGTCTTACATCATGGCAGGTAAGAGAGAGCTTGTGCAGGGGAACTCCCCTTTATAAAATCATCAGATCTCATGAGACTTATTCACTATCATTAGAACAGCACAAGAAAGACCCACTCCTGTGATTCAATTATCTACTACCGGGTCAATTCCATGACACATGGGAATTATGGGAGCTACAATTTAAGATGAGATTTGGGTGGGGACCCAGCCAAATCATATCAATTAGCATTTAATTTTGTATTGCAAATCTAGAGACAGATTTACCCCTTTGTTACCATTTTTTGTCATGTATAATTTTAAGAAGACTAATGTGCATGTTATTCGTTGAATTATGCTCTCCCTGCAAAAAAAAATATATATATATAATGAAGTCCTATCCCAAGTAGTTCATAATATTTGGAAGCAGAGTCTTTACAAAGACTCTGCAGAGCTAATCAAGTTAAAATGAAGTCATTAGAATAAGCCCTAATTCAATATGACTAATGTCTTTATAGAAAGGAGAAATCTGGATACAGAGACAGATACACACAGGGAAGACTCTTTGAAGGCAGGAAGAACATGATGTGACGATAAGATTGAGGGAATGCATCTACAAGCCAAGAAGCACAAAAAATTACCAGCAAACCCCCAGCAGCAACAAGGAGGCAAGGAAAGATTCTCTACAGGTTTCAGAGTGGGAATGGCTTTGTCTACCCCTTGATTTTTGACTTTTAGTCTCCAGGACTGTGAGATAATGAAGTTCTATTGTTTTAAACCACCCAATGTATGAGACTTTGTCAGCCCTATGAAACTAAAATAGTACATTATAAAATTTATTATATTAATGCATATACTACAAATTTATAAATATACTATATTTAGGTCTTCAATACATGTACATATTATCTTTAAAATGATATCAGAATAATTTGAAATAAACGTAAAGGCCAACAGTTTTGTTCTGATATTCTCTGAGCTGTTACTGAAGGAAGTAAAAAGAAACTTACTCTTCTTGTCAAACTCAGCATTATAATTATTCTTTTAACATGTGATCCTCATAAAAGGGTTAACTGTAAATATATTGACTAAAATATATGTAATAATACTTTGGATATTATAAATATGTAATGTTTGGAGATTTTATATGTAATGTTTGGGGATCTTTAACAAGGAATTATACCCCCAAAACCTCCAAGTATAATATTTTTCAATAAAAAATAGAATAATTTTGTCATCATGTTTCCAAGATTCTCAGAGTGATTTGGAAATTATTACATTATTCTCATAACACCTAAAGCATGTACTAAAAGTTTCCTTATATGAAATTAATGTTCAAAATAGGTATAAAATAATGGAAGTTACAATATATTATCCATTTAATAGTACTTCATTAGTAATAAGTTCAAAATACTACATTCTGAAATGCCTTATAATTCTTTAACCTTTGAAGTTAGAAATATACATTTTGATTAAATATATACATCAGAAATAATTACAGTGATATAATCCATTCATCACATAGTACTTTGTAGTTTAAAAGTGATTTTGCATGCCCTCTGTAATTTCTGGCTTATAATACCCTATAGATGTAAAACAAGCATAAATAAAACAATGAGGGTACTAAACTTTGCTCCGAGTATCATAGTTTCTTAGGGGAAAGGCTAAACACAAAGGATTTTCATCTCGTTTTTTGCAAATATGTTCATGTTTAAAAGTGTCTAATTTTAAGAATCTCTATGCACCAATATAGCAGTACTGACAATATGAACAATTCTATTAATTGGGAGTAGCTTTAAATAAAAAAGGGAAGTCTTTTTCTGATCCCTGATTTCCTTTCACAACATATCTACTCCTACTTTATCTATACTCCTAACCAATGTCCAGTAGTCTTCCAAAAGTATGAAAGTCCAAAGTGTGGGCTTCCTACAGATGAGATGCTGACCTGAAGAAATCCTGTTTAATAGTGTAGTTTTATTTATTATGGCATCCAGATAGGAAAAATATGCTTAGGCACTGAGGTATTCTATGAACTGTTTAAGTTATAACAAGTAGGCTTCTACCTATATAACCAGTACTGGATGATGGGTCAAAGGAGAAAATACTAGCATAATCATGAACATGGAAACTTTCCCATTTTTATTTATTCAACCACAGCTCGAGACCCTAAATTGAAAACTCACAATACAGCACATAAGGGCAATGGAGCTCTGAAGAGGGTACGTTGCTGCTTGGTGACCATCGGGACAGTAGAAACTAAGGATATTTAAACCTTTAGGATAAGTTGTGATACTTGGGCTTTTTATTCTCTACCTCAGTGATCAAGCTACATAAAAGAGCCCGGGGTTCCCTGCTGCCAACATGGTGACACTATGTTAATGAATCTTGATCCATGTGCCCTGGGGTTTGGAAAAGACACAGAAATTGATGACCACATGTTACCTGGAAATCCTAATGACACAATACTCCCTAGAAGTGCCTTTTAGCGTGAGGCAAAGAAACAGGGTTATTGTAGAAATGACCACGACCCTTAAAATTTGGTGGCCCAAAGATGCTGAGTTTCCCTGTGGGTCATGAGGACCCTATAGAAGGTAACAGGTTTGAATCATTCTGAAAGGACTGCCTTGAGAGCATGACACTTCTTCACAAAAAAACGGAGGAAAAAGTAGTACGATCCAGAGTTTTCATCACTAATTCAGGGAATAGAGTTATGGAGGGGTGGTGGTTGGGGGTGTTAGGACAGGATATAGGCATTAAAGAGAGTGTGGTAGATTAAATTATTATCCAGAAATATTCACTCTCTCTTGTCCTCAAGTTCAAGGAAGGCATATGTTCTCCATTGATGTTGAGCTTACCCTTGTGATTTGCTTTGACCTTTGAAATGACAGTAGATGTGCTACAACATAGATTTTAAATATGCTTGTACACTCACTTTAACCCGTCCTCCCTTATGCCTTTGCCGTTATCAAGAGAAGAATGTGACTCAGAAAGCCCACTCATCCCAGAGACAGGATGAGGATGAAAGAGAGGTGGAGCTGAGCCACTCCTAGGTAAAACAATCTAGATTAGTCAACTATACCAGTCAAACCACAGACTTCTAAGAGATCATAATTGGTTGTTGTTTTAAACAATCGAGTTTTAGGCTGTCCTATAATACAACAATAACTAATTGACACAAGGAGATGCTTCAAAGATCCTAAGAAAGTGTACTGCAAGAGAAAAAGCCAGATATGATGTTAACTAATAGTAAACTGGACTAGAGTTTTTAATACCTGACAAACTACAGTTGCAATACCCACAGGTGACTAGATAGCTGCTGTAGGTTCTCTCCAGGATATTGATCAAAGACAGGAAAGGTAAAACCATCAGAGATGGTTTCTAGTGGGATATTTTAGGTATATGTAAGTATGTATACAAATTAAAAGTTATATTTTATTTCCTTTCAGGAATAATTGCTTTAAAAAGGTGAAATGAGAGAGCGAAAGTAGAATATACTCACCCCAAAGTAAGTCATCCTTCCACAAAATCATCCATTAGGTTAATTTATTCCTTTAGCATTGGTAGGGTAGTTTTGATAATGTATGGCCACATTATAGCCCTCATCTACTAGACAATAAAGTTACATATTAATTCTAGATAAGTAGTTTGATTGGATCCACGGTGTCTTTACCCATGAAGCAAAGGTTTTTGCATATTATTAAAATAACTTTAGTAACCCACTAATCCAATTGATTTTTCATTATTTTGGGGTAATTTTAGACTTCATGTTCATATCTTTAAATATGAAAATCATGAAAATGGTAATTACATAAGTATAGAATTTATCATAGCTACAGTAATAATTAGAATATGAAATAAAATACACCGGTATAAACTCAGTTTGTCTTTGCAATTTTGATGTTAATTTGTTTAATTTACTAGGTTTAATTTACTATCACCTCAGGAGAGATGTCCCTTACTTCCTTGAGAGTGGAGCTCTTTAATCCTTTCTATTTGTAGTGCACCAGAGGTGATCTGATCTTGCCTCTAGTCCATCACAGATGGAGAATCCCTAGGAATCAAAAAGTAGATATAATTTTCTTTCCCTGCTGACTGCTGCTATATCTACCTGGGGGAAAAACAAAACCAACCAACCGACAATAAACTGCTATATGGGGTTTACTTTGTCCTTTTATTGAAGGGTGCTTTACATGTCCTAAAGCAGCTCCGAATAGAACTTGGACCTGTCTCTTTGTCTAACCTCTTATGGAAGGGGCTGTGAGAGGCGAAGTCACATAGGAAAAATTAATCTCCTTGGATATCTGTATACTCAAGGATAAATACATTCCTTGGGGGAAAAGTAACCTAAAATAAAAGAGTAAAGAAGTACAATTGATTTAAAAACACGGCATCTGTATTGGAAAAAGACATATTGCTTCTTCTGTAAAGCTGTTGGCTCTCATTAGATTATCCTGTGCCCCACATCTCTGAACTTATGTTTAAACTCCAGAAAGAGAAAGCTGCAATGAAAGCAAAAGAAAAGCTTCAGTGGCAGTTACTTTAAATTTTACATGAAACAATGAAAGCACTACTTGTGGCTTTTATAAATGAGAGCAATTTTTGTAGTACAGGTGCAGCACATAGTGTCTATTCAGACCAGTTTACTTTTAGAATAGAAAACAGGCACTGGATCTTGGCACTTTTAGCATGAGTGGTGCTGCCTTTGGTGCAGGTCTTGATGATTTGGCAGTAGGTACCACATAGAAATAGAGCAGGAATGTGAAAAACCACAGACACAGAAGGTGATAACTCTGATAAATACTTGGTGAGTAGGTAGGAGACACTGTCCTAAAGATTAAAAAAAAAATACTATGAGGGTGGAATTTGGGGGAGCTGGCATTCCTGCAGAAATGAGAGAATCAAAGCAAGAGAAATCATCTTTGTTTGTTTAAAAATGTTATCATGATTCTATTATTATGCCCAGGTTGGTGTCATCTGATTAAACACAGTGAAGCTACTGACTTGATATAATTACATATAGAAAATTTGGAAAATAAAAAGAAATAGAAGTAAAGCCACAAAAAGCTGTCTGCTATTACATAGTTAGAATCTTTGGACATTTAATGGAGAAAATAGATTTGGATCTAGGGAAACATCAGAACCATGTAGTTGCTACTATACCATATTTTTAAAGGTGATCTGTGAGATCATTCATTTCTGATTTAAAAGTTTTTTGCACATTGCTCTCTTTCTGATGTGAACTACAAAGTTGAAAGGGAACATTAAGAAATGAAAATTTGACAGATGTACATAATAAAATGACTGCAAAAGAATAAATAAGGTTACACAATGAAAATTTCTGATATAATTAATACTAAGAGAAATACAAAGAGCAATTTAATAATCATATTTAGATATTTTAATATAGGCAAGAAAGAGAATAGGTTATTCTTTGTTTCCAATATGTGCCAAAAAATGATATAGCTGAAATTTCTATCCATGTCTTCCTGCCTCTAAATCTATTGCTTTTGCCACTCCACAGGTTGCCTCAGAGTTGCTGAGGTCACTCTTATTCTCTCATGTTTGCTCAGACCTCCACTTCAAGAACAGGTGATTTGCTTCACTTCAAACAATTTTTTTTGTTTTATTATTTCTGAAAGTTTCAGAATGAATAAATTGAATTTTTAAGAATGATCAAATGCACAAGGTGATCTTGCTTTTCATAACTTAACAGATTCTTATATGACATAAATAATATCAACTTATTTATATGCATTACAATTTTTAAATTTATACATTGTGATTCGTTAAAGATTATTGCAACCTATAGAATGATGTTGACTCAAAAGACTAAATAAGAAAGATTAGCAAAAAAATTTGAAAGGGAAAACACACATTTTTGTTCCTTTATTCATAAAATGCACTCTGTGTCACAAATGCTATAGTATAAGAATGGTGTTTAAACCAATCACTTATGGGAAAATATGAAGGGTAGATGATGCACATAAGTAATAAGAAAGACACAGAGAAAAAAATAGCAGTATCTTTTTCAAATATTTATTATTAGTGTCTGGCGACATGCTTGGGGAAAACTCTAATAGAACTTATTTGCAAATTTAGAAATATTAAATCTATTATAAAGCCAGATCTACACAGATACAATTATTTCTATCCTTAGGGATAAATGAATCTTTGCTTAATGGTTTCATAAAAAATCATTTTGTTCAACTTCAAGTCTTGTATAAACAGATATTCTCAAGTAGAGATAATAATGGGAGCTTTTTAATATACTTTTATGTACTTAAAAAACGAAATGCATATTTCTGAAGTAAGCCCTCAGTGCTTTAGCAATAGAGTATTGTATAAATGAAAATCTACTTTAAATGAAAGCCTAGCAGAAATATATTAGCTCAAGGGAGTATATAAAATGTTCATGCTGCCTGTTGAATATAAATTTTATAATGGAAAATTAATTTTATTGCTCAGTCATTTAAATGATTATTTATATTGTTTATGATAATGGCAAATTATTATAAAATTTTAGCATTTAGGACAATACTTACATATCAATAAAATGTGACATTTATCTTGTATGTTAACATATACATATAGTACAATAACAATTTTTAACAGACATATCCAAACTTATCCATGCGTGCATTTTCATTAGTCATTGTATTTTCTTCACAGTCGACAAAACTTATATAGGAAACTCTTTGTCTTACCTTCTAAGTTTTATTTTATTTTATTTTTTCTAAATTTTAATAAATACAAGATTAAGAACAAAAAATGGATCAATTATTCAAAACACAGTTTTGTCCTCATCCAAAAAAGAATTCTCAATACCTTTGGGCTGAGAATAAGATATTGCAGATGATTGGAATAAGTTTATGGTTTCCAGGGTGGTTAATTTACAGGTAACCTTGTAGTTTCCCTCTGCCTGACTAAACTTTAGGCAGCCTTCCTTCTGACTCTAGGTCCTACCTCCCTTTCCTTAGAGCATTTTATTTAGAAAATCTGTAATTGTAAATTATTTCTCCACCCTTTTGAGAAGTAAATCCTTTTAAAAGCCTCTCATCAGTTTTACAACTCACGAATTTCTGAAGGATCTGTTTGCCATGTCTTTAAAATATAAACATTAAGAGAGATAGCACCCCATCTCCTACTTTCTATGGGAGGGTAGTGGCCCAACTTGGGTGGGTGACTGCTTTGCTCAAAGTTATAAAATTACTTCTTTTTACGAAAATATGAGAAAGTTTACTTTTCTTTTGGGTAAGATCAGTTGGCAACACAAATTGCCTATGATCTTCATCCCTGGCTTTTCAAAAACTCTCCTGGCCTCAGTTTCAATGCAGTTGAGTTCATACGATAGGTACCCTTTATCCCTAGTTTGACTTTCCATAGTTTCAGTTACCCACGCACAGTCAACTGCAGTTCAAAATATTAAATGAAAATTCCAGAAATAAAGAATTTGTAAGTTTTAAATTACATAGTGTTCTGGGTAGTATGATAAAACTTGTGTTGAGAGACAAGACTAGCTGGGTTTCCCAGGCCGACTAAGAATTCCTAAGCCTAGCTGGGGAAGGTGACCACACCCACCTTTAAACACAACACAGGGCTTGTGGCAGGTAATAAAGAGGGCTCACTAAAACACCAATTAAGTTAAAAACAGGAGCTAAAGAAATAGTCAAATCATCTATCATCTGAGAGCACAGGGGGAGGAACCATGATTGGGATATAAACCCCAGGCATTCCAGCCCAGAGGGGGCAACCCCCTTTGGGTCCCCTCCCATTGTATGGGAGCTCTGTTTTCACTCTATTAAATCTTGCAACTGCACGCTCTTCTGGTCCGTGTTTGTTCCGTCTCAAGCTGAGCTTTCGCTTGCTGTCCACCACTGCTGATTGCCGTCGTCCCAGACCACCATTAACTTCCATGCCTCCGGATCTGGCAGGGGGTCCGCTGCATTTCTGATGCAGCGAGGTGCCCATTGCCGCTCCGGTTTGGGCTAGAGGCTCGCCATTGTTCCTGCATGGCTAAGTGCCTGAGTTCATCCTAATCAAGCTGAACACTAGTCGCTGGGTTCCTGGGTTCTCTTCCCTGACCCACAGCTTCTAACAGAACTATAACACCCACCACATGGCCCAAGGTTCCATTCCTTGGAATCTATGAGGCCAAGAACCCAAGGTTAGAGAAGAAAAGGCTTGCTGCCATCTTGGGAGCAGCCACGGCCATCTTGGGAGCAGCCCACCACCATCTTGGGAGCTCTAAGAACAAAGACCCACCTGTAACAGTGTCACCCAGCTTCATCCCACCCACCATGTGAATCACTCCTTTGTCCAGTATATGCACCTTGTATGTGCTACTCACCCATTAGTCCCCTAGAAACCATCTCAGTTATCTGATCAACTGTCAAGGTACCCCAGTGCTTGTGTTGAAATAACCCTATTTTACTTAATAATGGCCCCAAAGCACAAGAGTAGTGATGCTGGCATATTGTTATAATTGTTGTATAATTATTAGTTATTGATGTTGATCTCTTACAGTGCCCAATTTATAAATTAAACTTTATCATTGGTATGTATGTATAGGGGAAAACAGTAGTCATGTACCACATAATGAAGTTTTAGTTAATGAAAATGCACAATGCACATGCACAATGGTGGTCCCATAAGATTATAATGGGGGCCTGGTGAGGTAGCTCACACCTGTAATCCCAACACTTTGGAGACCAAGGTGGGAAGGTCGCTTGAGGCCAGCAGTTTAAGACCAGCCTGGGAAACATAGTGAGACCCTGTTTCTACCAAAAAAAAAAAAAATTAAAAATTAGCTGGGCATGGTAGCGCATGCCTGTGGCCCCAGCTATTTGGGATGGTAAGGTGGGAGGATAGTTTGAGCCTAGGAGTTCCAGGTCACAGTGAGCTATGATCACCCCACTGCACTTTAGCCTGAGTGACAGAGTAAGACCTGTCTCTTAAAAAAAAAATTATTATGGAGCTGAAAAATTTCTATTGCCTAATGTTGTAGTGCAACACATTACCTTTACTATGTTTAGGTACACAGATACCATTGTGTTATAGTTGCCTACAGTATTAACATGTTATATAGATTTGTAGCCTAGAAGCAATAGACTATACCATATAGCCTGAATGGTAGTTGGCTATTCCATCTAGGTTTGTGTAAGTACTCTCTATGATGTTCCTACAACAAAATTGCCTATTGACACATTTCTCAGAGTATATCCTCCTCATTAAGCAATACATGACTGTATTTACCTAAAGGGCTTGATCCTGTCTGAGGTTTCAGCATCCACTGTGGGTCTTGGAACCTATCCTCTGTGGATAAGGTGGGGAGAAGTCTTCTGTACTGTATTCTGGTCTCTCTCTATTTTATTGCAATAGCATTCAATGAAATCTTTCTTGCCTGTTTAACTTTGGTGTTGCTTTCTCAGAGGACAAATTTTTAAATTCATTCTCTCCATACTTACCTACACATCTATTATTTCTAACATACTACTTAAACTTTAGTTAGATGAGTTTGGGAACTTATTCAAAATGATTCTCATCTTTTATTTTTCTGTCATATGCTTATGGAGCAAGTAATGAGCATTGATGAAAAACATCACAAAACAATGTAATTAGTTCCACTTTGAAAGGATGCTATTTTTTTTTATTGAGTTTTCACAGTGTGCACACCTCTATTCAGTGGCTTTGTTTAAAACTTTTATATTATCTATATTTACCTTAAAATAGCTCAGTATGGACCAACAGCACAATATTTTTAACTCTCCCTTTACTATTATGAAATAGAATTCATAAATGACCTACTTATACAAATAATTTTTTAAATTGAATTACTGCAATATAGCATGAAACATAGCTGTGACATAAAAAAGAGATAAAAGAAAAGTTATAATACAGCTAATTGCATTGTTTTTGAAAAAAGGTCATGTACCACTTGTGCTAGAAAGCATAATGAAATAGCTAAATGTTTCACCGATGTTTAATATTACCATGATGGCAACAGTCTCAAATGCAGACTGATACAGGGATGCTGTATTAATGATTCAATTAGTACAAATAACATTGCTATTGGTGACATTGTTTTCTGAAATTACACGCAATTCTTGATAAATACTTGAACAATACAAAGTATTGTCCCTTGACTCACATGTCACTTGCAATATTGAAAAATTAACAGTTCCCAAACACAATGCAGAAACACTTTATATTTTTATATAAGGCAGGGATGAAGCCTGGGTTCAGATATGTATAAATAAGATAATCGCTTACTAGAATTGTCTATCAGGTAGATCATTTGGAATTGTGTGGGATTCAATCTGATTCTGCTTTGTAAGATACTGTCCTAAGTCATGCAACTCTGGCCCTCAATCATTGAGCACTCAACAATGATATTTGCTGCGACTGACTTCAATCAACACTTTAGGAAGTGTTTAAATTTTAAGTAACAGAATGAGTTGTTTACAATTCAAGGGTGTTTAATTAGCATTTGAAAGACTTTAATCAAAGGCCCACACTTCAGCCACAAGTATAGCAAGCCATTCAATTAGTGTTATCTTAATCTACACTAGAGAATTTGTTAATTAACATAAGGAATGGTAAAAATAAATTTTCATTATCTAAATGAGAGTTGTACAAGATACATGATTGGTTAAAAACAAAAAGTACAGTTATCATTAATGAGATCTAAAAATCTGAGGAGCTCAGCAAGCACACTAGTTCCAGTGACCCATTAAGACTTGTCCCTTTCACTTGCTAGAAGATTTTGTCTCTTGATCCAACTATAAAGTTAGATCATCCTAACTTGTCCCCTTGTGAAGCCCCTTTCACAGCAGGCTCCTTTCTCTTGTATCCACCTGCTTCAGCAACTTTTCTGCAAGATAAGCAATCCTACGGGACCGCCAGATGGTTACAAGTTCCTGATACCTAGTACAGCCACGGAAAGAGAACAAAAGCCTCTTATTCCTGATGTAGCTTCCCCATTCTCCAGCCAATCAACACCCAAAGCCCAAGAAACCACAGGTTCCTGCCTGAAGCTAGGACTTTATCCACACGTGCAGCTAGGCTCAAGGTTTAGCTTACAGTGAACTTTTCCTCATTTTGATAGTAGAAAACACACCCCTAGGTGAGATTTTATAAGCTAATGATGCACGAGATGTGTGTTGGGATATGCAGATGCTAAGCCCCTCCACCAACCACAGGTCCACCTTTGCATAAATTGACTTCACTAGTATTTTATGAATGAATATGTATAAACAACTCCCATAAAACAATGGCCATAAAAGGAATTCCTTTTAAGGAACTAGCTGCTGTCTCTCCCTCTGAGCAGCCCACTCTGCCTCTCAGAGTGTACTTTCACTTTGCAATAAACCTTGCCTACTCTTACTTTGGGCTTGCTCTCAAATTCTTCTGTGTGGTAAAGTCAAGAACTTGAGTTGGCCTACCAAGAACAGTTGGACTGCCTAAAAGGCTAAACAGCTAAGACTTCATCTAGTTTACATTAACATGACTTTAACTATTTTTGAACCTTCTAAACATGCAATAATTCAGCCTGAGTCTTACTGTGATGGTAGCATACCTCCCAGTAGTGAGGTTCTAGGAAAGGAGAACTACAGCTCCCACTGGCTTCAAATTGTTAGCTGCTGTCAAACTGATATGGGTACAGTTCTCATCCTTGGATGTCCAGTGGATTCACCTAAGAAGCTCTAAAATATATTGATGCTGAAAGACCCGAAGGAATTCTGGTTAATTGGCCTGGTGTGTCTGAGCATTGAACTTTTAAAAACTCCCCTGGTAATTTCAGTGGTAAAAGTTAAGAACTGCTCTCCTATGACCTTTCCCACATCATCTGATTGAAAACATTTTCCTATTTGTACAAGCCCAGGTCATTCTTTCATTTTTTTTTTCTTTTGAAACGAAGTCTTTCTCTGTCGCTGACTGCGGTGGCACAATCTCGGCTCACTGCAACCTCCGCCTCCCAGGTTCAAGCGATTCTCCTGCCTCAGCCTCCCAAGTAGCTGGGATTACAGGCGCCCACAACACCTGGCTAATGTTTTGTACTTTTGGTAGAGATGGGGTTTCGCCATGTTGGCCAAGCTAGTCTCGAACTCCTGACCTCAAGTGATCCACTTGCCTTGGCCTCCCAAAGTGCTGGGATTACAGGTGTGAGCCACCGCGCCCAGCCCCACTCTCAAACTTTTAATACTTAAGTAATATGCCATCTAGTTATTGGGGGAAGAGAGGATTTTCAATGAGAGTACTTTTGTTTGTCTTCTTTTTTGCCTTTAGGTTTCTCTGTCTTCATCTGTCTATATACCCGTCTATGGAAATTGGAATTCTCTTCCTTGCCAGAGCAAACACACTTATTGTTGTTTGGAATTAGACTCACCTTTCCCTACTGTTTCAAACACAATGTTACCTAGAATTTGGTTCATAGCATCAGTATCACTTGGGAGCTTTTAAAAAATGTAGAGTCGCATGCACCATGTAGAACTCCCAAATCCAATCTGTGTTTTTAACAGGTTATTCAAGCCATTTGTATGCACTTAAGGTTTGAGAAGCATTTCTTGAAGGCATTACTCTACTAAATAGTTATTAGTTGCATCTCTAGTCTCTCCCTTGGCTGACTCTGTTTCACTAAAAAATAATAAATAAAAATTATTACCCTGAAATACCATCCTCAATGCCTTCCTTCCCTCCCCTCAAACAGATAAACAAACAATGATGAACAAACACAGTTCTCAATAATATAGTCATACATTCATTTACTCATTTATTTATTAAAAAAAATTATTCTCTAATAAGTATTGACTGTGTCAGACATTCTCTGTGCACTGGAAATGCAGTGGAGAGCAGCGGAGACATGGGCTCTTCCTTAAAAGATTTTTGAATAAACTAGAGGAGACGGACAATTAAGTAAATAATTAATCTCAAGTTTGATTATTCCTCTAAGAGAGGAAGCATATAGTACACATATGCACATGCAATGAGATCATATTCATTAGTTCAAGAAAACTGAATGGAAGTGACATTTAAAATGAATCATGCAGGATGAGTAAATGAAAGCAAACGAAGTTGGGAGTAAGGGTTGTGTGAAAGGAAGATTCGAGGAATAAAGAGCAGAGTAGGATTGAGGGTACAATGACATGCCTGAGTAGCTGAATAAGCATGTTCCATTATACATTTATTCCTTCCTTATTCTTGTAAACAAACTCTATATTGTAACAATTTTTTATGTTTCACTTATTCCATAAATTCTTTCAGTCTGCCTTCTAGTGCCAACACTCTATTTAAACACAAAAGTTATCTGTGCCCACAAAATAGTGAAATTCACTAGTATTTTCTCCCATGCTTATTCCTTTAATGTGATCTGTGTAGCAGAGTGCCTGGTGTGTAAAACTTGATTAAAAGAAACAGCTGGCTGGGCGTGGTGGCTAACACCTGTAACCCCAGCACTTTGGGAGGCTGAGGCAGGCGGATCATGAGGTCAGAGTTTGAGACCAGCCTGGCCAACATGGTGAAATCCCATCTCTACTATAAATACAAAAAATTAGCCAGGCATGGTGGCGCACACCTGTAGTCCCAGCTACTCTGGAGGCTGAGACAGAAGAATTGCTTGAACCCGGCAGGCAGAGGTGGCAGTGAACCAAGATAGCGCCATTGTACTCCAGCCTGGGCAATAGAGCGAGACTCCGTCTCAAAAAAAAAGAAAAAAAACACACACACAAAAACAAAAAAACCCAAAAACAAACAACAAAAAAACCCCCAGCTATACAAGTCTCCTAGATCTCTTCCTATAAAAGTGGAGCAGAAACTCCCTTTTTATCAGATTGTTTGTTATTCAAAGAGGAACTTAAGGAGTTCCTGTTTTAATATTAGTATTAGTATTAGCATTATTACTGTGCCTATTGCTCAGGGAAAAGTTTGCTGAAATTTTTTGCCTTCATTAAATTCCTTGGCAGACAATTAATACCAGGACAACAAGTGGATATATTGGCTTTCAAAATTATCATGATAAAATGTGTAAATGATGAAATCTGATTAAATGGTTAAAATAGAAATCAATTGGCTTGCATTTTATTTTTTCCCCACATCAGCACTGTATTTCAGAGGCATCACTTTAAAACAATTTTTATTTCAGTTCTTTTCCTAGTTCCTGCTAGAGCTCTCAATAGAATTCTTATGCCTCTTTCCCATAATTTATTAACAATATACAATACAGTAATTCCCTACTAAAGTATGTCAAGTTTGATCCAGTTACAACATCTTTACCTCCTCTCCTTCCTCTCAAATTTGATAGATATATCAGTTTTTTAACAATTTGTTACATTTGAAAATTTAAATAATATGTTCATGCTTCTATTTCTTTTCCCATCAACTTTTGACTTTACATCTTGGTTTTGTTTTTGTATTTCTTGTTTTTGAGGTTTTAGAGACCTTCTGCTTCCTCCACATCTCTTCCCATTTTTCTTCTTGCTAATATGGGCAATATACCACATTGGTAACATCTATACTGTGTTCTGTAAGATAATGAACTGTTCAATAATTGCATTTAGGTAAATTCTAAAAGTTGAGAAATCTACTAACCACATTACTAACATTAATATACATTTATATGGATCTTCATATAACCTAGTTTCATGCTGATTACATTTCCTTCTTTACACTTTCAACACCTCAATAATTCAGGCGGTATTTTTCTGCCTTTTCTTTAGCATGTTTGGATACTTTCAAGGCCATACCCTTGCTTAAATTCTGTTTTATGTTTATCTGCCTCATTTAGGATTTTACCTTCCCTTCAGAGATACAGATAGTAGGTTAGGTGTTAATGTCTATATACTTTTTCTAGTTAAGAGCACTGAGTCTCTTCTGGAAAATCCAGGAGCTGTTCTGTGCTCTGAGATCCTACTAAAAGTCCTGTACCAAGGTGAAATCAATTATGTGGAATCTTAAGTTTGCCTATTCCGTCAGATCACATAAAACCTTGGAAAAGAGCAAGCCATCCCTGACTGACCTATTTCTGGTGAGATCGTGTCCTGGCTAAGTAGGACTTTCAGATTCAAAAGTTCAGTGTTTTTGTTTTGTTTTCCTTTATGTGCTATGGACTATTAATGCATTCTTCAGTCCACCACTCTCCAATTTAAGGATGTTATTGAGAAGTCTTAGCATTTTATCACATCAACTCCTTGTCTGAACGCTAATTCCAAAATGATAGTTTCAGCATTAACAGCCCAGAAATATTATATCAGATTCTTCCCTTTCTTTTCTGAGTTACTAATTTTCATGTTTTAGGGTGTGAGGTTTTAGTCTTTTCCTTAGTCTGCTTCTGTGTGAATTTTAGCTGATATATTACGATGTATTTTCAAAAATATAATTTGGCATTAGAGTGTGAAGAAATCATTTTCTAGCTCAAAGAAAAACCGTGGCCTACGTGGAGACCTGAACCAGCAAAGTGATCATTGCAATATTGGTTAAAGTTTGTTTTCAGTGGCAGTATTCTATTTCAGCAAAAAAAGAAAGGTTACCTAAAACTGGAGTGCCCAGGCTACTGAGATGGATTTCTAATTTTCATTTCACCTGGTATTTTAAAAAGCTGGCCTGTAATTTTTGTTTGAGTATTGACCCAGGGTTCTTTTAGTCTTTGAAGGGAAAAAAGAGTTCTAAAGAAAATTGCTTGTCCTGCTAATTTTGCCTGGAGCATTTAATTTGAGTGTTAAATGGAATGTGACCTTATTTGTATCACACCCTTGGTGATGTAGTAATACTGGCTCTCTCTATGCTATTTGTGGTAGATGACCACTAACTTGTTGCAAATTCTTTCTCCCTTGGTTTTGATACATAGTATTAGATATTGTCTCCCTTATTTTTTTTTTGTCTTTTTTTTCTTCCCATCTAAATGCAGTAACCCTCAATAACTAGGCTTTAACCCTCTTTATTTCTTGTTGCATACTTTATCTTTGGCAACTTCAAATTTCCAAGATTTACACTAATTTAAGGGGTTTTAACGCCTCATAACAAAACCAACTCTTACCTATATTTCTCTGATTTATTTCTGTTAATAATTGCCACAACAACTCTTTTTGATCACCATGTTTCTAGTTCCTTGAAAATAAAACCTTGGAGACGTCTATAATTTCTCCCTCATCCTTAGTTCACATTAAAGTAGACACATATGTGACTCTTTTCTGTAGCCTTACATCTAATTAGTTGTCAGGTCTGTTTATTTCAGTATCAATGTTTTTTATAAATTCTCTTATTTCCATTCTGTCATCGGCCTAAATCAGGCTATAAAATGTTTTACTTTTATTATGTAATCACTTATGATTAAATGTCATCTCTCATGGTATGCTTTCCTCAAACTAATTCTCTTCTATGTGCCCCGGAAATACTATCCAGCTTAATAATTCAAAGGAATAGCTCTGATCATACAGCAATACTCTCCTATTGAGAAATTATCACTAATTGCTCTTACAATATTATTTTCTGAAGCATTCTTTCAAAATGGGTTTCAATAGTTAAACAAGTATAAAATCTTTGTATAAATACAATTACAAGGTTTCTTTACTAGAAAATTTCTCAGAGCCTTTTATTCACTGGGTACTGGTTGTTGTTTTGTTTTGTTTTAATTATTGTAGAGTAACTCGTAATACTAATGTTTCTTGGAGAACCCATGAGAGGATGTATGCCTACAGAATTGTAGCAGATTTTTAACGACAATATTTTTTCCAGAGTGCACAGCTAAACTATATTTCCCATCATCCCTTGTATTTATATAAAGTCATGTGACTGAGTTCTAGCCAATAGAATGTGAAGGAGTTATATGTGCCATTTCTGAGCCATGATTTTTAAGAATGGTGCAATCTCCACAGTGTTTTTCCCCTCGGTTGGTAGTATATGGATAAGGGTGGGGCCCTAGAGGACAATTGCACTACAAAATAAGAGGCGACGGTCTCTGAGTCACTATGTGGAGGAGAGCTGCCTGCCAACCAGCGACTTCCATCTTAGATGGTTATGAGAATGAGAAATAAACTTCTATTTTGTTCAAGCTGTTGTATATTTCGATTCTATTTGTTTTACCAGCTAGCACAACCCCAATAGATAAAGGTATGAAATTTAAATTCTTTAGCCTGGAAATGCAAAGTTCTTTACAATATGGGCACCAAGTATCATTTAGAACTACTTCTATTGAATAACAATAGCATATATTCTTATAGTGGGCCCAAACTATTTATTCATGATAGTGCTTCTGGTTACAACGTCTCTTTTTTCATTTAAATTTTTTGAAATTTAGACTCAGCTTAGATGTTACTTTCTTTTTTTTTGAGACAGAGTCTCACTCTGTCACCCAGGCTGGAGTGCACTGGTGTGATATCGGCTCACTGCAACCTCCACCTCACAGGTTCAAGCGAATCTCTTGCCTCAGCCTCCCAAGTAGCTGGGATTACAGGTGCGCCCCACCATGCCTGGCTAATTTTTGTATTTTTAGTAGAGACAGGGTTTCACCATGCTGACCAGGCTGGTTTCGAACTGCTGACCTCAAGTGATCCACCTGTGTCAGCCTCCCAAAGTGCTGAGATTATATGCGTGAACCACTGCACCCAGCCATAGATGTTACTTTATTAATTCTAACATAAAAAAGAAACATTTGTTACTAGTAAACTCAAACTTTGGTTTAGCTTTATTTTAAATGAGTGAACATTGAGATCTTTTCAAAGTGTGGTCTTCAGGGTCAGCTATTTTAGAACCACTTAAAGTGCTGTGCAGAACCTAGGTGATCCCTCTCCTTTTCTGTGACATCTTATGGCTCTAAGTCTAACTCCATCTCCCTCTCTCCCTTGTAGCTAAGGTCTAAGGCCTGAATATGATTTGGGTTCTGCTAATAAAGTGTGTCAGTCCTCTGAGCCCAAGCTAAGCCATCATATCCCCTGTGACCTGCACATACACATCCAGATGGCCGGTTCCTTCCTTAACTGATGACATTCCACCACAAAAGAAGTGAAAATGGCCTGCCTTAACTGATGGCATTGTCTTGTGAAATTCCTTTTCCTGGTTCATCCTGGCTCAAAAGCTCCCCTACTGAGCACCTTGTGACCCCCACTCCTGCCCACCAGAGAACAACCCCCCTTTGACTGTAATTTTCCTTTATCTACCCAAATTTTATAAAACAGCCCTACCCTTATCTCCCTTGGCTGATTCTCTTTTCGGAGTCATCCCGCCTGCACCCAGGTGAAATAAACAGCCTTGTTGCTCACACAAAGCCTGTTTGGTGGTCTCTTCACACGGACGCGAGTGAAATTTGGTGCCGTGACTCGGATCGGGGGACCTCCCTTGGGAGATCAATCCCCTGTCCTCCTGCTCTTTGTTCCGTGAGAAAGATCCACCTACGATCTCTGGTCCTTAGACCAACCAGCCCAAGGAACATCTCACCAATTTTAAATCCAGTAAGCGGCCTCTTTTTACTCTCTTCTCCAACCTCTCTCACGATCCCTCAACCTCTTTCTCCTTTCAATTTTGGCGCCACACTTCAATCTCTCCCTTCTCTTAATTTCAGTTCCTTTCCTTTTCTGGTAGAGATGAAGGAGACGTGTTTTATCTGTGGACCCAAAACTCCGGCGCTGGTCACGGACTTGGGAAGACAGTCTTCCCTTGGTGTTTAATCACGCAGGGACGCCTGCCTGATTATTCACCCACGTTTCAGAGGTGTCTGACCATGTGGGGATGCCTGCCTTGGTCCTTCACCCTTAGCGGCAAGTACCGCTTTTCTGAGGGGCATGAACCCCCCAACCCTTCTCTCTGTGTCTCTACCCCTTCTCTGCTTTTCTGGGGGGCAAGAAGCCCCCACCCCTTATCTCCGTGTCTCTACTCTCTCTTTTCTCTGGGCTTGCCTCCTTCACTATGGGCAAGCTTCCGCCCTCCATTCCCCCTTAGCCTGTGTTCTTAAAAACCCAAAACCTCTTCAGCTCACACCTGACCTAAAACCTAAATGCCTTATTTTCTTCTGCAATGCCGCTTGACCCCAATACAAACTCGAGAGTTGTTCCAAATAGCCAGAAAATGGCACTTTCAATTTTTCCATCTTACAAGATCTAAATAATTCTTGTTGTAAAATGGGCAAATGGTCTGAGGTGCCTGACATCCAGGCATTCTTTTACACATCGGTCCCACCCTAGTCTCTGTGCCCAGTGCAACTCATGCCAAATCTTCCTTCTTTCCCTCCCACCGGTCCCCTCAGTCCCAACCCCAAGCGTCACTGAGTCTTTCTAATCTTCATTTTCTACAGACCCATCTGACCTCTCCCCTCCTCCCCAGGGCGAGCTAGGTCCCAATTCTTCCTCAGCCTCTGCTCCTCCACCCTATAATCCTTTTATCACCTCCCCTCCTCACAGCTGGTCCGGCTTACAGTTTCATTCTGTGACTAGCCCTCCCCGACCTGCCCAGCAATTTCCTCTTAAAAAGGTGGCTGGACCTAAAGGCATAGTCAAGATTAATGCTCCTTTTTCTTTATCCCAAATCAGATAGTGTTTTGGCTCTTTTTCATCAAATATAAAAACCCAGCCCAGTTCATGGCTCGTTTGGCAGCAACCCTGAGATGCTTTATAGCCCTAGACCCTAAAAGGTCAAAAGGCCGTCTTATTCTCAATATACATTTTATTACCAAATCTGCTCCCGACATTAAATAAAACTCCAAAAATTAAATTCTGGCCCTCAAACCCCACAACAGGACTTAATTAACCTTGCCTTCAAGGTGTGCAATAATAGAGTAGAGGCAGCCAAGTAGCAACATATTTCTGAGTTGCAATTCTTTGCCTCCACTGTGAGACAAACCCCAGCCACATCTCCACACACAAGAACTTCCAAACGCCTAAACCTCAGTGGCCAAGTGTTCCTCCAGGCCCGCCTCCCCCAGGAGCTTGCTACAAGTGCCAGAAATCTGGCTACCAGGCCAAGGAATGCCCACAGCCCAGAATTCCTCTTAAGCCACGTCCCATCTGTGCGGGACCCCACTGAAAATCAGACTGTTCAACTCACCTGGCAGTCATTCCCAGAGCCTCTGGAACTCTGGCCCAAGGCTCTCTGACTCCTTCCCAGATCTTCTCGGCTTAGCAGCTGAAGACTGACACTGCCCGATCGCCTCGGAAGCCCCTTAGACCATCACGGATGCCGAGCTTCGGGTAACTCTTACAGTGGAAGGTAAGTCTGTCCCCTTCTTAATCAATACAGAGGCTACCCACTCCACATTACCTTCTTTTCAAGGGCCTGTTTCCCTTACCTTCATAACTGTTGTGGGTATTGACGGCCAGGCTTCTAAACCTCTTAAAACTCCCCAACTCTGGAGCCAACTTAGACAATACTCTTTTAAGCACTCTTTTTTAGTTATCCCCAGCTGCCCAGTTCCCTTATTAGACCGAGACACTTTAACTAAATTATCTGTTTCCCTGACTATTCCTGGGCTACAGCAACACCTCATTGCCGCCTTTTCCCCCAGTTCAAAGCCTCCTTCACATCCTCCCTTTGTATCTCCCCACCTTAACCCACAAGTATAAGACACCTCTACTCCCTCCTTAGCAACCGATCATGCACCCCTTACCATCCCATTAAAACCTAATCACTCTTACCCCGCTCAATGCCAATATCCCATCCCACGGCATGCTTTAAAAGGATTAAAGCCTATTATCACTCACCTGCTACAGCATGGCCTTTTAAAGCCTGTCAACTCCCCTTACAATTCCCCCATTTTACCTGTCCTAAAACCAGACGAGGCTTACAGGTTAGTTCAGGATCTGCGCCTTATCAACCAAATTGTTTTGCCTATCCACCCCATGGTGCCAAACCCATATACTCTCCTATCCTCAATACCTCCTTCCACAACCCATTATTCTGTTCTAGATCTCAAACATGCTTTCTTTACTATTCCCTTGCACCCTTCATCCCAGCCTCTCTTCGCTTTCACTTGGACTGACCCTGACACCCATCAGGCTCAGCAAATTACCTGGGCTGTACTGCCCAAGGCTTTACAGACGGCCCCCATTACTTCAATCAAGCCCAAATTTCTTCGTCATCTGTTACCTATCTCGGCATAATTCTCATAAAAACACATGTGCTCTCCCTGCTGATCGTGTCCAGCTAATCTCCCAAACCCCAATCCCTTCTACAAAACAACAACTCCTTTCCTTCCTAGGCATGGTTAGTAAGGTCAGAATTCTTACACAAGAGCTGGGACCATGCCCTGTAGCCTTTCTGTCCAAACAACTGGACCTTACTGTTTTAGCCTAGCCCTTATGTCTGCATGCAGCAGCTGCCGCTGCTTTAATACTTTTAAAGGCCCTAAAAATCACAAAGTATGCTCCACTCACTCTCTACAGTTCTCATAACTTTGAAAATCTATTTTCCTCATACCTGACGCATATACTTTCTGATCCCCAGCTGCTTCAGCTATACTCACTCTTTGTTGAGTCTCCCACAATTACCATTTTTTCCTGGCACGGACTTCAATCCGGCCTCCCACGTTATTCTAGATACCACACCTGACCCTCATGACTGTATCTCTCTGATCCACCTGACATTCACCCCATTTCCCCATATTTCCTTCTTTCGTGTTCCTCACCCTTATCACATTTGGTTTATTGATGGCAGTTCCACCAGGCCTAACCGCCACTCACCAGCAAAGGCAGGCTATGCTATAGTATCTTCCACATCTATCATTGAGGCTACTGCTCTGCCCCCCTCCACTACCTCTCAGCAAGCCGAACTAGTTGCCTTAACTCAAGCCCTCACTCTTGCAAAAGGACTATGCGTCAATATTTATACTGACTCTAAATATGCCTTTCATATCCTGCACCACCATGCAAGAGGTTTCCTCACTACACAAGGGTCCTCTATCATTAATCCCTCTTTAATGAAAATACTTCTCAAAGCTGCTTTACTTCCAGAGGAAGCTGGAGTCATTCACCACAAGGGCCATCGAAAGGCATCAGATTCCATTGCTCTAGGCAACACTTACGCTGATAAGGTGGCTAGACAAGAAGCTAGCATTCCAACTTCTGTCCCTCACCGCCAGTTTTTCTCCTTCATATCAGTCACTCCCACCTACTCCCCCGCTGAAACTTCCACCTATCAATCTCTTCCCACACAAGGCAAATGGTTCTTAGACCAAGGAAAGTATCTCCTAGCCTTAGAGGCCCATTGTATTCTGTTGTCATATCATAACCTCTTCCATGTAGGTTACAAGCCACTAGCCCCTCTCTTAGAACCTCTCATTTCCTTTCCATTATGGAAATCTATCCTTAAGGAAACCACTTCTTAGTGTTCCATCTGCTATTCTACTACCCCTCAGGGATTGTTCGGGCCTCCTCCCTTTCCTACACATCAAGCTCAGGGATTTGCCCCTGCCCAGGACTGGCAAATTGACTTTACTCACATGCCCCGAGTCAGAAAACTAAAATACTTCTTAGTCTGGGTAGACACTTTCACTGGATGGGTAGAGGCCTTCCCCACAGGGTCTGAGAAGGCCACCGCGGTCATTTCTTCCCTTCTGTCAGACATAATTCCTTAGTTTGGACTTCCCACCTCTATACAGTCCGATAGCAGACTGGACTTTATTAGTCAAATCAGCCAAGCATTTTTTCAGGCTCTTGGTATTCAGTGAAACCTTTATATCCCTTACGGTCCTCAGTCTTCAGGAAAGGTAGAATGGACTACTGGTCTTTTAAAAACACACCTCACCAAGCTCAGCCACCAACTTAAAAAGGACTGTACAATACTTTTACCACTTGCCCTTCTCAGAATTCAGGCCTGTCCTCGGAATGCTACAGGGTACAGCCCATTTGAGCTCCTGTATGGACACTCCTTTTTATTAGGCCCCAGTCTCATTCCAGACACCAGACTAACTTGGACTGTGCCCCAAAAAACTTGTCATCCCTACTATCTTCTGTCTAGTCATACTCCTATTCACCGTTCTCAACTACTCATACATGCCCTGCTCTTGTTTACACTGCCAGTTTACACTGTTTCTCCAAGCCAGCACAGCTGATATCTCCTGGTGCTATCCCCAAACTGCCACTCTTAACTCTTAAAGTAAATAAATAATCTTTGCTGGCAGGACTATGCTGAATCTCCTTAGGCACTCTCTAATTAGATGTCCTGGGTCCTCCCAATTCTTACACATTTAATACCTGTTTTTCTCCTTCTCTTATTCTGTTTAGTTTTTCAATTCATACAAAACTGTATCCAGGCCATCATCAATAATTCTAAATGACAGATGTTTCTTCTAACAACCCCACAATATCACCCCTTACCACAAAATCTTCCTTCAGCTTAATCTCTCCCACTCTAGGTTCCCATGCCACCCCTAATCCTGCTCAAAGCAGCCCTGAGAAACATCGCCCATTATCTCTCCATACCACCCCCAAACATTTTCACCGTCCCAACACTTTACCACTTTTTCATTTTATTTTTCTTATTAATATAAGAAGACAGGAATGTCAGGCCTCTGAGCCCAACCTAAGCCATCATATCCCCTGTGACCTGCACGTACACATCCAGATGGCCGGTTCCTGCCTTAACTGATGACATTCCACCACAAAACAAGTGAAAAGGGCCTGTTCTTACCTTAACTGATGACATTGTCTTGTGAAATTCCTTCTCCTGGCTCATCCTGGCTCAAAAGCTCCCCTACTGAGCACCTTGTGACCCCCACTCCTGCCCGCCAGAGAACAACCCCCCTTTGACTGTAATTTTCCTTTACCTACCCAAATCTTATAAAACGGCCCTACCCTTATCTCCCTTGGCTGACTCTCTTTTCGGACTCAGCCCGCCTGCACCCAGGTGAAATAAACAGCCTTGTTGCTCACACAAAGGCTGTTTGGTGGTCTCTTCACACGGACGCGAGTGAAAAAGTGTACCTATATAACAGAGGGACAAGTAATATTTCTGTTGGCTTGTGTTGATGCCAATTGACACACATGCTGTGAAGATCAAACATTTTGGTAGTGGTTGGGCCCTGCATTCTGCTAGTTCATTACCCCTTTCAATGATGGTACCTGTGGTGTGGAGTGGCAGCATTTGAACCACTGGATTGTCAGCCACTGCAATAATATATTCTTGAAATCACATGTCCAGTGGCAGTCCCCTGATTATCACTCCTTAATTAATTCTAAGTATTTTGGAAATATAATTTTATTAAAATGCCTCTCTGTTTAAAATGGCTAGAGTCGTTTCTATGTCCTACACTAAATCTAGACTGGTACAAATTCCTAGATTCTACCCTAGACTATGGAATCAGAAAATATGTAGATAGAAACCTTGTATCTGTGTTTTAACAAGCTCTTCATGTGATTTACGTATTTTCTAAAGTTTGAGAACCACTAACTTAGATAGTCCAGTTTTCTTTACTTTCTCTCCTATGGTATACATAAATGAGTACAGTTAGCATTACAGAAAAAGAGTGAATCTGTCAGAGAAAGACCAAGACATGACTTAGGCCTCTAAAATATGTTGACTTCTTACCATGTTTTAATAGCTTAATTCTTTTTTGTGCACATGCCCATCTGAGTTAAATTTAAAAAGCTCAAAAATTCCATTGTTAATGCTTTTGTTGTTTGACCTTAGAAGCTTTGAAAAATAATGCTGACAAAGTCATACTAGTTGTTTTTTTATAACAATATATATGATTTATCATTACATAGTTTTATTTTAATGTAATCCATATCTTACAGAACAAAACAGTAAATAATATATTTTATGGATTGAATTGCGCCCCTGCCAAAAGGATATGGTAAAATCCTAACCACTGGTACCTGTGAATGTGGCTTTCTTTGAAAATAAGGTCTTTGTAGATATATTCAAATTAATATAAGGTCACAGTTGATTAGGGTGAGCCCTAATCTAATATGACTGGTGTCCTTAAGGGAAGAGAAAACAGAGAGACTCCCATGGGAAGATGCAGAGACACAGACACAGAGGGAGGGCAGCCATATGAAGATGGGAGCAGATATGGGAATTGTGCTGCCACAATGTAAGGAATCCCTGGGGTTACAAGAGGCAGAAGGAGATGAGGAAAGATCCTTCTCTAGAGACTTTGGAGGGCACATGGCCCTGCTTGTACCTTGATTTTGGGCTCCTATCCTCCAGAACTATGAGACAATACATTTGTTTTCAGCCACTCAGTTTGTAGTACTTTATTATGGCAACCTGAGCAAACTAATGCAATATTCAATGATAAAAAAACAAACAAACAAAAGCAATTTTTTCATAGACGATAGCACATGTTTCAGTATCTGAATATCTTTAGTCACTAACATTTGTTTTTCTACCTTTCTCCCTTGAATTTCATGTAAAATTAACTACAGTTCTTTTCATTTCCTTTATATGTGGCTGAAGAATGTTTTCATTATCTTGTCTCCAGGAATGTAATAATCAAATATCAACTTCTCATAGTTGGTAAGGATTTCAAATTTATAAGGAGAATAATAGAAATAATTCTAGAGAGGCTATGAAATAATAAAATATAAGAACTTGAGTCATTGAAATTAAAATTAAAAGTGATGAAAGGAATATGAGTTGGTATCAATGTAGTTTTTCATATATTCTATATGTATAATTAATATGTGTTTTAAAAATAGGTATGTCTTATTAGAACTCACTTTTCTTTAAAAATGGAATACTTTAGACAGTGTCATTACAATTAATCTTTGTATTAAGTATTACACGTTTTTGCTCAATCAGTTGTGAATTGTGTTGAAAGCGATTTTCTTCTTTCTCAAAAAATAAATAATATAGTGAATAATTTGTATTTTAAACATATTTAAGTGGATTCAAGTTATTTCTTCAATAATGTCATCTTCAGTGATACTCAGATATTCTTTGTGAGTAAAGAAAGTGTTTTGTTATATTTAGCAAAACTGAAATTCATATGGGAGGGCCTTGAACCTGAGAGTCTGTGTATCACACAGCAGAGAAAAAATAGTTTGAGAGATGCAATATTTTTACAATATTTTTCTAAAAATATTATCTCTACTATTTAAATAATATTTTATGTAAATGTTAAATAACTTTGAATATTGTAGAACTTTCATGGTATGTAGTAATATATGCAATTCCATCAATTGTCATTGTTAAGAAATGTTGTATATTGATTTATTCACACTATAATTAACTTTGAGAAAAGCAGAAATGTAAAGTGATAACACTTTATTGTAAAAGAACTAAAAAAAAAAAAAAATGCCTATTGATGTCAGGCCTCTGAGCCCAAGCCTGTACGTATACATCTAGATGGCCTGAAGCAACTGAAGAATCACAAAAGAAGTGAAAATGACCAGTTCCTGCCTTAACTGATGACATTACCTTGTGAAATTCCTTCTCCTGGCTCAGAAGCTCCCCCAATGAGCACCTTGTGACCCCCCTCCCCCCACCCCTGCCTGCCAGAGAAAAACCCCCTTTGACTGTAATTTCCCACAACCTACGCAAATCCTATGAAATGGCCCCACCTCTATCTCCCTTTGCTGACTCTTTTCAGACTCAGCCTCCTGCACCCAGGTGATTGAAAATTTTCATTGATAGTGAGCCAAGATCTCACTACTGCACTCCAGCCTGGGCGACAGAGTGAGACTCCGTCTCCAAAAAAAAAAAAATTTTATTGCTCACACAAAGCCTGTTTGGTTGTCTCCTCACAGGGACACACATGACATTTGGTGCCAAAACCTGGACAGGAAGACTCCTTCAGGAGACTGGTACCCTGTCCTCGTCATCACTCCGTGAGGCAATCCACCTATGACCTTGGGTCCTCAGACCCACCAGCCCAAGGAACATCTCACCAATTTCATATCGGGTAAGCAGTCTTTTCACTTTCTTCTCCAGCCTCTCTTGCTACCCTTCAATCTCCCTGTCCTTCCAATTCCAGTTCTTTTTCCTCTCTAGTAGAGACAAAGGAGACACTTTGTATCCGTGGACCCAAAACTCCGGCGCCAGTCATGGACTCAGGAAGACAGTCTTCCCTTGGTGTTTAATCACTGCAGGGATGCCTGCCTGATTATTCACCCACACTCCACTGGTGTCTGATCACTGTGGGGACACCTGCCTTGGTCATTCACCCACATTCCCTTGGTGGCAATTCAATTGTGGGGATGCCTGCTTTGGCTGCTCACCCACATTGCAGCCCAGGGCTGCTCACCACTCCCCTTCTCTGTGTCTCTACCCTCTCTTTTCTCTGGGCTTGCCTCCTTCACTATGGGCAAACTTCCACCCTCCATTCCTCCTTCTTCTCCCTTAGCCTGTGTTCTCAAGAACTTAAAACCTCTTCAACTCACACCTGACCTAAAACCTAAACACCTTATTTTCTTCTGCAATGCCGCTTGACCCCAGTACAAACTCGACAATGGTTCCAAAAAGCCAGAAAACGGCACTTTCAATTTCTCCATCCTATAAGATCTGATAATTCTTGTTGTAAAATGGGCAAATGGTCTGAGTTGCCTGACGTCCAGGCATTCTTTTACACATTGGTCCCTCCCTATTCTCTGCTCCCAATGTGACTAGTCCCAAATCTTTCTTCTTTCTCTCCTGTCTGTTCCTTCAGTCTCCACCCCAAGCTCTGAGTCTTTTGAATCCTCCTTTTCTACGGACCCATCTGAGTTCTCCCCTCCTCCCCAGGCTACTCCTCGCCAGGCTGAGCCAGGTCCCAATTCTTCCTCAGCCTCCACTTCCCCACCCTATAATCCTTCTATCGCCTCCCCTCATCACACCCGGTCTGGCTTACAGTTTCGTTCCGCGATTAGCCCTCCCCCACCTGCCCAACAATTTCCTCTTAAAAATGTGGCTGGAGCTAAAGGCATAGTCAAGGTTAATGCTCCTTTTTCTTTATTCGAGTTATTTCTTCAATAATGTCATCTTCAATGACATTCAGATATTCTTTGAGAGTAAAGAAAGTATTTTGTTTAGCAAAACTGAAATTTGTATGAGAGGGCCTTGAACCTGAGAGTTTGTGTGTCACACAGCAGAGAAAAAATAGTTTGAGAGGTGCAATATTTTTACAATATTTTTCTAGAAATATTATCCATACTATTTAAATAATTTAAGTAATCATTAATAACTTTGAATATTATAGAACTTTCATGGTATGCAATAATATATGCAATTCCATCAATTGTCATTGTTAAGAAATGTTGTATATTGATTTATTCACACTATAATCAACTTTGAGAAAAGCAGAAACACAAAATGATAACACTTTACTGTAACAGAACTAAAAAAAAATGCCCATCGAGACATTTTTCAGCCTCTATATGACTTACCAAAACATTAGTGTATTTAGTTTTCTTTGTAACATCTAACTCTTTTAAAGCTTATTTTTAAAGTCAGAAATGTTTGCTTCAGGAATAATTTCTCTCCTTACTCTGTTTTCAGGCATTATATGTATTAGTCTCTCAAAACCTTGAAAAGAGAGGTATTCTGAAGAAATATGTCTTTTCTAATATATTCATATATAATTCATTTTCTCTCTTTTATATATCCAAATTTTTATTGGTATAGGTTTCTTTAATAGGGAGACTATACATATTTCCAAAAAGCCTTAAGAAATTAATAAAATTAAGGAGAAATTACTAACAAAATTTCAATTTTCTTTTAATTTTTTGAAACAATATTCTACGTTAAACCTACATAAAAGTGAATCATAGAGAATTGGCATAATTCATATTTTTATTTTGAAATCTTTTATTGAAAAATAGAAATTGTATATATTCAAGGCATATAATGTGAAGATTTGATATACATAGACGTTGTGAAATGATTGCCACAACCACATTAGTTAACACATCAACTTATGCTGTACATTAGCTTCCCCAGAATTTATTCGTCTTATATCTGAAAGTTTGTACCTTTTGGGAAACACCTCTCTATTTTCCCCATCCCTTAGCCCCTGACAAACGCTGTTCTTTCTATTCCTATGATTTCAAATTTTTTAGATTCTACATATATATGAGATCAAACAGTATTTGTCTGTCTGTGTCTGGTTCATGTCATTTAGCGTATTGCTTTCCTGGATCATACATATTGCCATAAATGAAGGATTTTTTTCTTTTTGTGGATGAATAATGTGCATTATATGTCCTCATTTTATTTATCCTTTCTGCCATCGATGGACGCTTAGGTTGTTTCCATATCTCGGCGATTGTGAAAAATGCTGCCAATGACCACAGGAGTGGAAATATGTGCAGATATATGAGACACTGGTTTATTTATTTTTGCCTATATAACCAGAATTGGGATTACATGGTAATTTTTTAATCTTTTTGAGGAGCTGCTACACTGCTTTTTACAATGGCTATACCAGTTTACATTTTTACCAACATTGTATAAGGGTTTTCTTTTCTCCACATCTTTTCTTACCTCTTGTCTTTCTAATAATAACCATCCTACACAGGTGTGAGATGATATCTTACTGTTTCAGCAATTATTTTTTTGGACATGAGACCAAAAGCACAGGCAAGAAAAGCAAAAATAAGGAAGTGGAACAACTCAAACTAAAAAACTTTTGCACAGCAAAGAAAACAGTAAAATTGAAAAAGCCACCTATGGAATGAGAGAAACTATTTACAAACGATGTATCTGCTAAGCGGTTAATAACCAAAATATAAAAGGAGTACTTATGACTCAATAGCAAAAACCAAATAACCCAATTAAAAACATGATCAAAAGACCAGAATAGACATTTTTCCAAAGAAAACATTTACATGGCCAACAGGTACATGAAAAGGTGCTCAATGTCATTTCTTCTTTAAATGTCTGATAGAATTTAACAATTAAGTCATCTGAGACTGGTGCTTTCCATTTTGGAAGATGGTTAATTATTGATACAATTTCTTTAATAGATATTCAAATAGTCTATTTCTTCTTGTATAAGTTTTATAGATTGTGTCTTTAAGGAATTGGTCCATTTTATCTATGTGGGAATACTATTGTTTATAATATTCCTTTATTATTTTAATGTCCATGGGATTAATTATGATACTCTCATTTCTAATATTCATAATTTATATTATTTCTCTTTTTTGTTTGTTATTTTGCTGGGAGATTTATCAATTTTGTTGGCCTTTTCAAAGAGTTGGCTTTCTGTTTCATCTATTTATTTCCTATTTTTTATTTCATTGGTTACTTCTCCAGTGAAAAATGATCAAGATACATGCAGATGAGGTAGTGAGTTAGTGGAAGAGAAAATTATTAAAGGGAAATGATAAGATTGATTTTCTAGTTTAACAAATGAAATCCTATTTATAACTTCTCCTTGCTTTCTAAGAAGAGTAGATACTGTTAATTGGAGAGAGTTTCCAGAGCAATATGATTGGTGTGGGGATGTAAGTACTAGATAGGAGCTGGGGAACAACTCTTTGTAATAAGTAGAGAGAAATTCAAAGTCCCTCCAACAAAATGCAACATAAAAAGGAGACTGGAGAAAGCAAGGCCAGGCCACATGCTACATGAGCAATTTGAAGGAAGTTAGAATCCTTGGTGGCAGCATGGCTACAAAGAAATTTGGAGAAAAAAATTTTTAAAAGGATTTGGAGCCTGCTTTGGGCTGTTGGAATATTCTATTTCACACAAAGTTATCAATAAATTACACAGTTTACTAATGTTTAAGATAGGGAACATGCCGTTGAGTTGTTCATTTGTGCTATAAAACAATTTTTAAAAACAGTACTATATTTTAGTCAATGATATATTTATTGTAAGAAGTGTTTAGATGTAGAGTTCCACTTTATGCAACATTGGACTAAGTAATGTATACAAACCATCCACATTTAGTTTGATTAATCCACATTTGGATTATAGCTTATTGTTTCATTGTTCTATGGGACTCTGATATTTACCCATTTTAATAAATAAATGTGTTTTTCAAGCAAGACAAAACAAACATCTAACAATAAATTTAAGATTCATGAGAGGCTTTATCTTTTCATATGCATTACAAAATACATTTATTGTGATTTTAAGACACCTGGATACATGCATCTTCAGCTTACAAGATTTAAAATGCAGCTGAAAAGCAACCAAATAATTTTTTCTGAAATCAGGTATTTTTTTACATGAGAAATATTGGACATATCTAGACCACATTCCTCATATTCCACTCCATTTATCTACTGACATTACCCTTCCTACTAGAATCTTCCATTTTCTGAGGAACTTAATATTGTTGAGGCAGATACTGTGGTTAGGTTTCCCAAAGCCATTTATAACTCCTTTCTCTTATCTTCCTTTATACTTCTGACTGAGAAGGCAAATTATTTGACCTCTCAGTGTCCATCATAGCTACAGATGGCCATATGACATAGTTTTGGCCAATGCTGTGTAGATACAAATTCTAAAAGAGGCTTTTATTCTCAAATAAAAAGACAAAGTTCCACAAGGATAAGGTCTCTTGTACTTTCCTTCCTAGTTTTGGCCAACAATATAAATATATCTAGAGGAGCAGCAGTTGTCTGGTGACCTAAATGTTTTGATGACAACAGGCTAAAAATTGTGGCTAGTCAACTGTAAACCAACAGCAAGAATAATTTATCTGTGAAATTATGTAATCTTGGATCTCTATGATGATATTCAATATTTAGTGGCTAAGTCAAAACCTTAACATCTGGTAAGTGCAAAAATTATTATAACCCTAATATCAAGGAAGGTACTATGCTGCCATTCTATATTAAAACAAAATTAATTTTAGCTTTGGAATAATTTTCCTTTAAGCTCAACCCTTTCTAATTCTAAGGCTTCTGTGGTTAATAACTCTGCCATTTTACTAGACAGGCCTCAAAAAGGCCAGTTATATCCTAGACTATGGTGAAATGGGTGAACTCTACAAACACTGAGTTCTCACAGTTGAATCTACAAGGGACCATCAGTTAACTTAAGGGCAGTCAGTCCACTGGTTGGCCACCTATCCATGGCAACCGAGACAAGAAATAGCAATTTTCCTTCTTAGACATTTAACTAGTTTGATGAAAATGAAAACAAGTTAGCAATGAGAATGTAAGCTAAGAAGAAGTCATAGGTAGAAAGTCAGGACTATAAGGGATTACAACAAATCATAATTTCTAAAAAGCTGAAATTCTGCTTCAGTGGAAAAATTAATAGTAGAGGTTGAGATATCCTATCATAAATTTACCCAAAGAAGGACTACAAATTTAGCTGAGCCTCATCAATGGTGGAGCATGGAGTGAAAATTTTAGAGTCAGTATTTCCATAGATTCCAGTTTTATTCAGGTTTCATATTTCTCTCAGTTCATGTTGTTCAGCTTTGATTGTTCAGTATTTTATAAATTTGCATGTCCATACGTGTAATTTAAGATTCTTTTGGTTACAAATGACTTATGTAAAAATATGAATTTATCGTGGTACACTTAGGCCTATTATATATTCCATTCCATCAAAGAGTTGGGCCACCAGACAGGGGAAAAGCAAAATTTTATAAAACTTTCCTTAATATGCTAACATTAATATAACACAGGTCCTGCAAAACCAGTCTATCATTTAGTTTAAAATTATTTATTCATAGGAAAAAATATTTGATTAGTCTACCTTTTTTAGGTGTACCATTGATGATTCCTTGGGAAGAACAAAGATGTGGGGAGTGACACCCATGTTAAAAGAGGGTAGTTTTTGGAGTAGATGGACTGGAAAGAGAATTTAGTATGTATGCACCACAATGTTGATTCTTACAACTTCTAAATTATTTGAGATACGTTGACAAGTTTTTTTGTTATTTGCAAATAAAAGAGTCAAACTACCCTCAGCATTAAATTTGAGGCATTTACACATGGTGGCAATAATACATCTTCATATTTTTCAAGGAGTTATGAAATCCAGAGGCTCTCCAACCTGTAGTCTCAACTGCCCAATCAGATTTCCAACTTGAAGATTCCAAGAATTCCAGAGCATGTTATGAGTGGCTGAATATCTGGTCCCAAGTGAGGTAGCTGCATGCTAGGCTAGTATGTTTAGATAATTTTTCTATGAACTTTGTTAAGCTAATTTTATTTGTAAATAACCAAGCAAAAATCATAGCTTTTTCCTTAGAATGACAGAACGAGAGAATTATCTACACATTTCCTTATAGCTCTAATCATCATTTAATTCCTAACCCTTAATTCCTTGAGCAAATTCATGCAAAATCCCCATTCTATTTAGTTGGTCTCAATACCTGCATTTTCGAAAATCTTACCAGGCTTGTTCTTGAGTATTTAATGGAATGATCTGCTCTAGGTCTGTATGTACTAAGAAGTCTAGATATTTCTCAGATGCAAACACAGCTACTTCCTCGGCTTATTGGGAAGGCATCTTATGTGATCTGTAAATAAAATTCAAAACGTATTAGAATGATTAAAGGAGTTTTCTTTAAGTAACCGAAGAAAATAAGTTTAAGTAAAGTGCACTTTGCCTCATAACAATGTTAGTAATATTTTATACCTTGTTATCTCATTAGTATGTCTTATCAATGCTTTAAACTATTAATTCTTTGTTGAGAGGTATGTAAGCAGAAAGTGAAATTTTGTAAACCCTAGAAGAAAAATTCCAAAGCTCAAACATATGTATAAAAGGAAAATTTATTTTGCTTTTAACATTTGTTATATTTTAGAATGCCAAATGCTGATTCGGTTAGTCATTAAAAGCCAGAAAGCTTGGCACGTGGCTCACGCCTGTAATCCCAGCCCTTAGGGAGGCTGAGGGGGGCAGATCACAAGGTCAGGAGTTTGATAGCAGCCTGGCCAACATGGCAAAACCCCGTCTCTACTAAAAGCATACAGAATTAGCTGGGCATACTGGCAGGTGCCTGTGATCCCAGCTACTTGGGAGGCTGAGGCAGGAGAATCATTTGAACCCAGGAGGCGGAGGTTAGTGAGCCGAGATCTCGCCATTGCACTCCAGTCTGGGCAACAGGACGAGACTCCATCTCAAAAAAAAAAGTCAGAAAAAGTGTGTTCTGGAGTTAGCAGATCTGGGAATGACTATGCAAATACAAAGACATTCCAAAAGAGATATAAGCCAGGGGTTGCATTCAACTGAGTCAACCTTTTCGACATGATTTTATTGAAAGATGACTCAACTAGTTATTGCTAAGACAATAACATGGACAGTTTCCCATGAAGATTGGTGTGATACTGTTTGGAATAGAGACACATTAACTAACTTTTCATTAGTATAAAGAGAAAAACAAAATGCAGCAAATGTTCTGGTAAGAGGAATTTTATTTCTGGAATATTAATTAAATAGCAGAGTAATGATTAGAATGAAGGGACAACTGATAAAGTAGTTCAAAATAATCCCTTCATTATGGCAGTTTACTTTAGAATAATACGTTGGGTATACAGCTTTATGGAAACAAAATAAACAGTTCTCGATAACATAAAATTATGACATTAATTCACTGTAAAGGCCTCTTGTAGCTTGGAAGTTTATAAGAAAGTTAAACAGTTTTCAGTAGTGCAGGTTTGTGTAGATAATTTAATAAAGTAGAAATAATCTTAAGAAAAATGCTTTATGTATTTATTACAAACTAAATTAATTAATGAAAATCTTTCCTTTAGAACATTTCTGTTGACCAATATTTTATCTACCACATTTTGGAACTTGCTCTCCTGTATGTATTAATAATAAATCCACTGTATGAAGCCCTGATTCCAAGTGTGGCAATATATGAGTTCCCTAATATAAAGGCAAAGCTGGGATTATATTAAATTTCGTTTTTGAAGTTATTGTTATAAGACAGAATGAAACTTTTGTAATATTTATTTTTCTCATTTAGTCATTTAGAAATAAGAATTTATAGAGTTTTAATTTTGTAATAGATCCAAATTCTTGATTATAATTAATTTTCAGCAATAAGATTCACTTCTATTTGAAGTGATTAAAATAAAAGCTTCTTTATTAAGATTACAAACCTTAATAGATTCAAGTACTAGATATGTTTATTTGGATTTGTTTCTAAGGAATTAAATGTCACTGAGAGAACAAAGGTTTTTTTGTTGTTGTTGTTGTTGTTTTGTTTTTTACATACTTGCCACAGTTGAGCAGAACCCGCTAAATGAACTCCATTACCAATGTTACTAATGTTATTTTGGGTACTGATTTTAGGTGATTATAAAATAAAACAGTTTAGAGAATGTTTACACTATTATTTCCTTTACATAATTCATCTTATTCAAATTGATAATTGTCCTTTCTAACAAGAAATTAAATTGTGCAGATATTATTGTTAGAAATATTGGTATCGTTACTTACCTATCCACAATATCAAACATCAAAAAATAATAAAACCGAGCACAAAAAAGGCATACACATTGAAAAGAGAGAAATACAGCCATCTTTATGTATAGATGAATAATTGTCTATGCAAATAATCCTAATAAATCTACAAAAAGAAAACACAAACAAATACCAACCTCCTTGAACTAATAAGTGAGTTAAGCAAGGGTGCATGTTACCAGATCAACATACAAAGTCAATCCACTCCTATATACTGGTTATGAGTATGTGTGAAACATTTACGATTGCTCCACTGAAAATGAAAACTTAGTTACAAATCTAATAAAATATGTAAAGAATCCTCATGCTAAAATTTTAAAATGATAATGATAGAAAATTTAAAAAATCTAAATAAACGACATAATAAGAGACATCCTATATTCATGGATTGGAACATATTAAATGTGTCACTTCACCGAAAATTGGTCTGTAGGCTTAATGCAGTCCTTATTAAAATCCTAGTGAGTTTTATTTAGACATAGACATAGACAAAAGCATTATAAAATTTATATGGAAAAGCAAAGAAACTAGAGTAGTTAAAAACAGTTTTGAAAAAGGTTAATAAAGTGGGAGGAATCATTGTATCTGCTACAATTGAATATTACTCAGCAAAAGAACAAACTATTGATCACCATGACACCTTTGATGGATCTCAAAGGAATTATGCGGAGTGAAAAGAGCCAGTCTCAAAAGTAACATGCTGTAAAATTACATTTACATAGTATTCCTGAAATGCCAATATTATAGAAATGGAAAATAGACCAGTGCTTGACAGAGGTCAGGATCAGGAGAGGAAGAAGGTGGCTGTGGCTATAACAGTGTAACCTGAGGGAGCTCTCTGATGGTGTTGCATGTGATGGTGTTGGACACAAATATACACATGCAAACAATTACATAGAACTAAATATATATGTGCCCAGAAATGATTGAATATAAAACAAGTGGAATCTATTCAGTGGGTTTTAGTAATGTTAATTTCCTGCTTGTGATACGATAATATAGTTATGCAAGATGTTGCCACTGGGGAACACTGCATGAAGGCTATGGAGTATGCTCATGCTCTGTATTATTTCTTATAACTACATATAAACCTACAATTCTCTGAAAAGAAAAAGTTTTTAAAAAGAGACCAGGTGCAGTGGCTCACACCTGTAATTTCAGCACTTTGGGAGGCCGGGGCGGGTGGATCATGAGGTCAGGAGTTTGAGAACAGCTGACCAACATGGTGAAACCCCGTCTCTACTAAAAATACAAGAATTAGCCAGGCGTGGTGGCGCACACCTGTAATCCCAGCTACTCAGGAGGCTGAGGCAGGAGAATCCCTTGAACCCGGGAGGCGGAGGTTGTAGTGGGCTGAGATCGCACCATTGCGCTCCAGCCTGGGCGACAGAGCAAGACTCCGTCTCAAAAAAAAAAAAAAAAAAAGTAAGAAAAAGTAAGAAAACATTGTTAATGAAATGTATTTTGTAAAATATGAGGTCCAGCATGGATGCTATTTTTTGCCTTTAATATTTTAGTTAAAAGGTCCTGGGCCGGGCGCGGTGGCTCACACCTGTAATCCCAGCACTTTGGGAGGCAGAGGCAGGCAGATCACGAGGTCAGGAGATCGAGACCATCCTGGCTAACACAGTGAAACCCATTCTCTACTAAAAATACAAAAAATTAGCCAGGCGTGGTGGCACTCACCTGTAGTCCCAGCTACTTGGGAGGCTGAGGCAGGAGAATGGCGTGAACCTGGGAGGCGGAGCTTGCAGTGAGCCGAGATGGCGCCACTGCACTACAGCCTGGACAAAAGAGCGAGACTCCGTCTCAAAAAAAAAAAAAAGTCCTCTAAGAGCAGATGATATTGGAAAAGGATTTTTAATAGGGCAAATTCTATTATAGCAATGTTAAACTCCATCTATTTCTAGAATGAACTATGCGATATCCTCATTTATTATTAAGATTAGATTATCTCTGGCGATCACTTAACTATGTTTTCATGAGTATGCTGTAGCCTTTCTGATAAATCTGACCAAACCTAAGTATTTTATCCATTGCTCCTTAAAGTGGGTGATCTCCACAGGTAGTTTATTATGTTTGATTGTTATTATAATAGATTTCATTCTTTATCCTGTTAAAGTTTTAGGTACCTCACTTGCCCCCAGGTACTTTGATAGAAATGGATTTCATGACAGTCATATATGTATTATGGTTATGTTCTCATTTCATTAGTATTTGTTCTATACATGTGATACAGATTTCCCCCACTGTAAAACAACGGAGTAAGAATAGGTATTGTGTACTTTCTTTTTACTCTTTGGTGAAATTTAAATTGGTCTAAAGGAATGCCCACATTATTTAATTTGAAAAATTTTACATGTTCAAATATCCCTTAAAATAGAAAGTTATTTAAGCTTACAAGGTTAAAATAGGTATTTATTTTTCCAGTTGCAAAATTATATTTAGAAAATAGTAAAGAAAAATCACTCTTAAGCCACTCATTCAGAAAAAAACTGCTGTTCACCAGCATGGCACATGTATACATATGTAACTAACCTGCACAATGTGCACATGTACCCTAAAACTTAAAGTATAATTAATTTAAAAAAAAACAAAAAAAAAAACAGAAAGAGAAATTCCAGAGCACAAAAAAAAAACACAAAAAAACATTCTAAAGATTACCTTAATATATTTTACAATACTTACATAGTGTATGTTAAGTGTATGTTTTATGCCATGTGTTTTATGCACCATGTATGTGTCTTATGCATATGTGTTTTATATATACACATGTATATATGTGTTTTATATGTGTGTTTTATATATACACTTTATATATATACATATATCTATGTATGAGATTTTAAAAATATAAATATATATATACAGTAGAGACAAAGTGTACAGACATTATACTTGAAAATTTAGCCCTGCCTTAAATAATTAATAATATACTATTGTTTATAACATAAACAATATGTTATAAACAATAGTATATTATTAAATATTTTATGATTTTGATAAATAGATCAGTATAAAATGATTTTTAGGGGTGTAATTAATATGAAAATAGCATGTATCTAACTAAAATAATTAGAAATTTACATGGTGCCCAAGTGTTTGCTACTTTAAAGAATATTCTAAGGCATACCATTGTTTATGTATTCATTATACAGATTTATAAGTGAAAATATTTATTTGGAAGATTGTTTTGAATTGATGCATTTTCTTATGCTTTATAAATACTCTAATATTAGGCTGGGCATGGTGGCTCACGCCTCTAATCCCAGCAATTTGGGAGGCTGAGGGGGTGGGTCATTTGAGGTCAGGAGTTTGAGACCAGCCTGACCAACATGGTGAAACCCCGTCTCTATTAAAAATACAAAAATTAGCTGGGCGTGGTGGCGCATGCTTATAATCCCAGCTACATGGAAGGCTGAGGTAGGAGAATCGCTTGAACCTGGGAGATGGAGGTTGCAGTGAACCAAGATTCCACCACTGCACTCCAGCCTGGGCAACAGAGTGAGACTCCATCTCCAAAAACAGAAAACAAACAAACAAAACCCCCCAAATACTCTAATATTAAAACATTTCAAAATCTTTATGTTAGAGAATTAATACATCTGATTATAAATATATTAAAGTCACTTTTCTTTGTGCCAAATATCTTGCACAGGCCATGGCAAAGTCATGAGATGATAGTGAATAAATGAATAAATGAATGAATGAAGCACTCCTGTCTACCTCATTGAGTTCTATACTTTCAGATGGCTAGCCCTTATCTTTAGGCCTCAATTTCCTAACACATTTACACCAGCTCTCCAGTCCATCATTTAAGTTAGCTTTGCCTCTAGTATTTAGTTTCTTCTTTACTAGTGGTTTTCTACCCCACTTGTATATGGCTTCTGTTATTGTAGCCTTTCAGCTACTAGTTTGGGATAAAAAGGTGATCCTTAAAAATACATTTGAAAGATAACAAACATAAAACCTTGAGAATATGTTTGGCCACCAAATACATTCTTAAGTTCCAATATTTTAAAATTCAGAACATTTTTACATATCAAAAGACTACATAGAAAGTAAAATTTCACATTGCAAGCAAACTTTTTCAGTACATTGCAAGATAAATTACTGCAGTAAATGTTAGTGACTCAGTTTCGTTGTTAAAATATGACAAGGTAATAGTTGCACATGTAAATGTGAAAAGATTTTCTTTCAAGGTCTGAAAAAAGGAAATAATTTTATTCACATTAGTTCCCTTCCTGTTTTTACTACCATCATTTCAATTCAGGGCTTGTTTCTGCACAGGATAGAGTAATGGCCTCCTGTTTTCCTTCCGTTCCCATTTATTCCACCCTGTGCAAGACTGTGAAGTTATTCTTTCTAAAATAGAACCCTGATAATTTAACCCACCTGCTAAAAACAAACAAAATGAAAACAGCTAATAACTCTTCACTGACTACAGTTCAAACTTGTCAGGCTGAATTTAAGGCACTCAATGATCTGGATTCCTCCACCTGCTTCTCCAGATTCATTTCTCGTTATTCTTTTCCATGGATGCTGCACTTCTGCCAATCTGGACACCTTGATGTTCCCTTCACATATTTTGCATGGTCCTGCTTTATACTTCTTACTCTGTGTTATTTTTACCTTCTTTCGATTTCTTGATTTCCACCTTTTCTTAAAATTCCGCCTCATTCGTAAAGCTTACCATCAGCTAGCTACCATTTATGATTGCTTATTGTTTTCGTGAATGTTCATTATAGTTTAGTATATTTTGCCTTCAACTAACAAACAACAAAGTCAAATAATAAGAAAATTATACAAATTATACTTTGTATAAAGTATTTTATTACTGTATCTATCAAGGAAACCACTGTATTGTAAGCACCTTGAAGTCAGGTTTTGTGCTTTGCTTTGTTTTGTTTTCCTGCTTTGTGTTCTCTCACCTCCACCGCTCTTATAACTATCATATTATATTGCACAAAGTATATGTAGAGTAAGTGTTTGAGAAATTGAATAGAGCCACCAGAAATAGTTAAATTGAGCTATTTCAGTTTGCGTCGGAATAAGGGCTAACATTTTCTTTCTCAGTATAGTGGTTTACTAAATTTAAAATGTGTTGTGAATTTTAAAGTTTGGTAGGTGACATGTCTCTGAACAGAGCACTGTGGCCTTGGGTTCACATTGGCATTTGGAGCTGGCTAAACCTACACATGCCAGAGTGTACTTTCCCGCCTGCTGTTCCAGCTGAGGCTTTAATGTTGGACTTTTAAGCTGAGCCAAACAGGTAGGGGAAACGATTGCCAGCTATCTGATACTGTAGAGATTTAGGCCAGATGGAAACTTGCTTTAAAAATCAAACCAGTTTCAGTCATACCAACATGAGCTTTCTTGGATGTCTGCTTTGGAGACATTATGTTATTATCATCATCATCATCATCATCATCATCATCATTATTACTAAAGTCAGAAGTCACTAAAATATTGTATTACATTTTCAAAAATACCTGGGAGGTGGATACAAGAATGTCATGGTAAAAATACTGATCCTGGACTAGAAGGAGTAGAAAATAATAATTGTAACTTGTGTTATTTTCCCTCAATGATCTAAAATCTGGAGGTGAAATTCTTTAAAAGTACATCATAAAGGCAGCTAGGAGAACTGATGTGGTAGCTCCAAATGGCTATTTTGTTAGAGGTAGTAAAACTTTTTCAATGTAAGTGAAATGATCCAGCAATCAGTTCCTCCAGGACTTTTCCTGAATGTTTACTTTTAAAGAACATTTATACCTTCTGTAGAATGTAAAGGGAGGATGGACACATGATACTCAGAATAGTCAAGTCACTTTACAAGAAAAAAGACAAGAAGCAGGCTGATAGGAAGTATGAAAATACTGGGAAGTCCTTAATGGTCAGACAATATAAATTACGAAAACCACAGATAGCTGATACCCAGCCATTCAACAGAACCCATTAAGACATGATTATGGAGTCATAGTCAAGGACTCAGTTTGACTGAATGGGAGCTTTATAAATTTTTAAACTACTATCTTCTTAATTATTGCATTAGCCTACTTGAATGTGAGAGAAATTATCTTTTTCTTATCACAAACATCTACTGGGAAAACACCTGCTAAATTTCAATAGTCTGCAATTTTAATGTACCATAATGTAGTACTATTATGTCCAACAATGACTGTTTCCTCTTATGCAGTTATGCAGATGTTGCAATAAATGATCAACATTGGACTATACTGTGTCTAATGTCCAAGAGTAATAGAAGTAAAGACAGTCGATACTCCTTAATTATGAAGCAAGCTGTTTAAAATTTCAAGACATTTCTGATCAACCACATAAGGCAAACTTCCAATTTATTACTCCTGCATTTTGAATCAGAACTCTGGAGCAATTCAATGCAAGAAGAAAACTATCTGGATTTTCTCCCTTCTCCCCATATCTTTTAAATTTATGCATAATTATAATTATCTTCCTCCTTTAGTGTCTTCATTAATAAATTACCACAAATGTTATTTCAATTTTCAACATTTGCTAATAAAAAAGACAGTTTTAGTTCAGAGAGAGTATAACTGCTCATTATATAAACAGGATTATATTTAATACGCAATAATGTTCTTTGTTATTGATAACAATTACTCAGAGATCCTGTAAGCATAATGAACTCTGTAAGTAAGAGTGGATTGTTTTATTCTCTCAGGAACTTAAATTCATTCATTTATTTTCTCATCATTAAGTATTTATTTTGTAGCTATTATATGTCAGGCATTATCTCAGATGATAGAAAAACAAGGAAGATTAATACTGAATTCTTATCTCTCAGGAGCTTACCATCTCAAATAAGGTGGCAATCATGTTAATAAAGTCTGTATGAGGGAGAAGGAAGCCAAAGGAAAGAGTTTAAGAGTTTTGACAGCATTTAAGAGACACAAATAAATAGAGTCAGTTTTCTTTTTTATGCTGTTTTTTTTCCCCCACACTTAAAAAAAAATTCTCACATCCGTTTCACAACTTCTTGACTTGAGAAAACTCTACAGCAGTTTTATGGAAGCATTTATGAGGAGCTGAAAGGGTACAGTGTAGGATTTCACATGTGGGGATACACAGAGTGGAATAAATATATTTCATGGGCTATACCTCAGAGTTGCAAGAAAACTAATGTAAAGTTATTAATGCTAGAAAAATTCAAAATATATTAAGCAAAATACCTATTAACTTACAATAGGACCTTTTTTTTTGTAGCCACCAGAATACTAGATGCTCCCTCCTACCCCTCAAATCACTGTGCTCCTAAAAATAGAGCATCTGAAAGGCCAACTTGGCAATGAGGTGAACAGATACAGTGAATATGGAAATATCAGGGAGAGGTGAGCAGTCATTAGGTATATTTTATCCAGGCAACAACTAAACTTTATATATTGTTTATGCCTCAGAATAGAAGATTCTTCTTTAATGTTCTTCATTTATTCTTTGTTAGAAGAATAAATTTCTGTTCATGATATACAGATTTACATTTCTTATGGACACAGGTTAAAATAATAGATCATACAATCTCTGGCTTCTTTTTTCTAATTAATACTGGATCCTTCTTCCCAGTATCTTGTGCTCTTGAAGAACATAGCAGATATGTTCATAAAGAGTCTATATGGAAAAGAATGAGGCCAAAGTAATGAATTTTAATGAGAAAGTTTCGTACAAACAAATAATAGTACTGTTCTGATGAACCTTCTTATCGTAACATATTTTTTTCTTCAGACAGGTTGCAATATAACTGCTACTGATTATAAACATTATCCATTTCTAGAATTGATTAAGCTACAGCATTGTTCTTTTGTTATGATTAGGCTAAAGCTGGTGATAACTGAGACTGCTTTAGTTACTCTGATGGAAGTTTTCTCTTTACCTATTTTCTCTCTGTTCTTTTAGGGTGAATCATTTCCGTAAGTGGCTTATTACATTTGGTAGCAATTATTCTTGATTTCATTTTTCAGTTTGTCAAAGTTCTAGGAATACCTTACTTTGTTAAATAGGTTTTATGACAATCATGTCTTTTATATTGACACTGCTCTCATTTCATTTACACTTTATGCATGCAGTGTGCATATGCATACCATAGTGGAACTAGCTTTAGTTGGAGGACATTTTGCATGCTTTCCTGCTGTTCGTTGGCACAATTTAAATTGGTACATTAACTAAAGAGTAGGCATTGGAGTAAGTGTTATTTGAGTGACATGGCATCTAATAAACTCTGAATTGCTTATAGTAGATGTAAGGGCAATGCCTGCTTCTGCCCTTAACACACTGTCAAAACTTGGGCAAGTTCCTGCAATTGTCCACGTTTAAGTATTTTTGTCTGTAAAAGAGCCTAACTTGTCTCCAAGCTACCTCTGGATAGCTACCTTCTAGTATCTCAGAGGTCATTTAGAGCAGTAATAATGTATAAAAATGTCCTGTGGTGGGAGAAATATTTGAAATATTTATTCTATATAAAGATTATAAAAATTCAAGGGGGCAGGGGAAATGCATAAGGAAGAACAAAGCCAATTAAAAATCCCCCTGTTAACCACTTTATGAGTGTTAGAGTAAATAAGTACCAGAGCTCCACTGAGATAAACAGGAAGGACAAGGAAATTTTCAGAAAGCTCACACACACACACACACACACACACACACACAGAGAGAGAGAGAGAGACTGAGAGAGTAAGAGAGACAAGCTGTCCATAAGTAATGATCTTCTAACAAAGAATAAATGAAGAACAGGCCAGTGATGATTAGTACATAATATTCAGCAAATGAGAAATGATTGGAAAATTTTCTTCTGCTCATGTGGGATACAGCAGCTTAGAACATACTACTGCTCTTCATGCCTTCTCTGAGAAGATGATTAAGGGCCTGGTAATGTTTAGTCACACAAATTTATCCCCAAAAGGTTACCTGCCAACATACTAATAATGATTTCTCCATTGGATAATCCACAAAACTATGGTAAAAATTTATGAAATACTCTTCCTTTGTTCTGAGGCGAAAAGAAGTGAATGGACAAGCACACTATATGCCACTGCTTTACAAATAAATTGCCTTTCATTTTAAGTGACTGGATATCGTAAGTGATAGATTTAGACATAATTTATAGTAGAGAGAACTAGGAAGACTTTTTTTTTTTTTTACTCTTGGATTCTGTTGAGTTCTAGAAGTATTAGGTAGAAGCATTCATGGATTTCCTGGAGAGACAACAGCTATGGGACTCCCAACTTAACCAGAGATATGAGTGACGGGAAGACGCAAAGGTCAGGCCGAGCATAGATACATACAAGGTATAAAAATGAAGAAAAACTTCTTGGTGTTTTGGCTCTTTGGGGTAGTTTCTTGGGTAGGGCTTCTACCACCACAGCTCTGGTTGAACTTTAGGCCCTATGTGTCAGCTGTTCTCTCTGCTTTTACCTTTCTACTGCTTACTCAGTGAACATTCCAGAATAGCAATATACTGTTACATTTGGATAAATATTTTATCCAAAGTACAAAATGGAATGAATATACTACTAAACACTGGCGTTAGGTTATTAAATTTATAACATGTTTTAAAAATTATACTACAACAAATAACTCATTTAAGACATCTATTGTCTGAAGAAAAGTCTTCAATTGTAAGGTCAAAATCATTTTGTTTAATGCAAAGAAATCTAGTCATGATCAGAGATAAATGTAAAGTCATACAAGAGAAAACAATTGTTTACTCAGCTTTTGTTCAAATTATCTTATGGGTTTTATTACAGTAATTTGTATACAGAACATTTATAGATTTGACTTAGAACAGACTTCTCCATACATTCAAAAAATGTACAATTCCACTAAAACTTGTATTGGTCAACTTTATCCCTAATTAGAAGAAAAGTAGTGAAATATACAATAATTCTAATATTATTTCTGCTCTCTAGATTGTGTTAGTCTCTAATATTGAGTGAGGTCATCAGTGTTTGAGGTTTACAATATACAGAATGGAACAGATGACATGATACTTGAATAGGCATTGGTTTAAAAAAAATAATATATTAGTGTTTGAGAATATGTTTCCAAAGGAATGTGTACCAAAATGTGTTTCTAGAGTGGAAAATCCCTCAGTTGGTCACTCTATATTTAGAAATATATTTGACAATGTTTTTGTCAGTAATGCTTTGACTCAAGCTGAGTCAAAATTCGTTTCATTTTTAGAGGACATGAAGAACAAAATAAATATAGCTGATTACATAAAGCAGGGTTTCCCTAGTCCAGAAAGCCTAAGGATTACAGAGAGGCTGATAATTGTCTACACTGTGTGTGCACCTGCACTGAGGAGAGAAAGGTGTGAATATAACAAGTGCCTGGGTATTATACAATAACTGAAAACCCATGTCCAGGTAAAGAGAAATCCAAATAAACATCTGGATCGGTTTACATGCAGACATGCTGCTAATATAAGTAAGTTTCTATCGTTTATCAACTGAGAGTTAAAAGTAGCTATTAACATTTGGATACATTCATAAGATTTAGACCTTGTTATCCCTCGAATTAGTCATATTGGTAAAGTGAAAGCATAAACATTTTATGGCTTTCTCTTATATCTTTGATTGAATGAGATAGAAAATAAGTGTTATAAGATGTATAGAGTAAGTCTATGAGAAGGGTAGCACAAGTCCCTGCAATTCTCCCTTTTACAACTTAGCAACTACCTGATCCAAGGCATCACTGTTCTCCACTGGAGCACTGCATTTGCCACCTGATTGTAGGCTCCCTCCATCAATGACTCCTTCTACTCCATACTCCAGACAGCAGCAAGGGTGAGACTCCTTGAGTGGAAGAGTGAAGCCCTCCATAAATCCATTTCAAAAAGAAACAAAAATACTGGCAAAATTGTCAGAATCAGAACTCTGCTCCTACTTCATAGAAAGCTATGGCAAAAGGGCCTTTGTAGATGTGATTAAGGTAAGTACCTTAAAATGAAGAGAATATCCTAGATTATGCAACATAATCATGAGTCTCTAAAAGTAGAGAACCTTTCTGGGCTCTGGTCAAAGAAATGTGACAGTAGAAGAAAGACATGAAGATATGCAAACTCACTGCTGAATTTGAAGATGGAGGAAGAGGACCATGAGCCAAGTAATGTATACTGCCTCTGAGAATCAGGGGAAAGATGCAAAGAAATGGATTTTCCCCTAGGGCCTTCAGGAAAGAATGTGGCCCTGCTGACACCTTCATTGTAGCCAAGTGAGACTGCTGATAGACTTCTGAAATGCAGAACTGTAAGATAACACATCTGTCGCTTTTAAACCTGATAAATTTCTGGTAATTTGTCATGGCAGCAATAGAAATTGAATATATTCATGTAACCACCTTTGACTTCTTTACCTCTGTCTGATTTATTCTTCAGATATCTAATAATTTGCTTTAAAGCACTTTCTTCAATTCATTTTTCAGGTAGCCTTGCCTCAGTGAGACCCTCCCTAGCCATTGTGTCTAAAGTTGTAACCCCTTCACTTCCACCCCAAACAGTTTCTAGGCTGATATTCTGTTTTATTTGTCTCTTTAGCACTAATCTCTATTCCTAATATATGATGTATTTACTTTATTAATTTTGTTTACTGCCTGTCTCCACTTCTAGAAGGTAGCTCCATGAGAGTAGCATTTTCATCCCTTTTTTTCTTCACAACTTTACCTCCAGCATGTAGACATGAGTCTACTATGTTGTATTCTTAAACTATGTTTAATGAATAAATGAGTGTAAAGTAGATGTAGCTGCTTTTTCATGAGACAAGCCATACTTATATACTCATTTACTTATAGTTTTTGTCAGTCTCTTCTGGGGTGTTAGATTCATAAGTGCATAATAATTTGTCGTCTTCTCAGCTACAAGTGTCTCAAATGAGAATTACTTTAAAATACCAGAGGAAGAGACTCTTTAAAATGCTAATATTCTCTTTATAAAAATACAAACATGCACAACCATTGGAATATAGTTTTCAGATAATTCATGGACACGCTGAAGCCCATTCTTAAGATCCATACTGGTGTATCTATTAGAAACATATAATTCCTACCATAGTGAACATTGTAAATGCGTGGCATCACTTTTGAGAACTTGAAAATAAAATCCTTATTACAACTGATAATTGAACACAGGGTTAAATGAATATTAATAGATCTGTGAGACATGGAAAGCCCTCTTTTCACAAACATAAAGAAATGTATGTGTGCATTGACCAAGGAAATAAGAGAATCATTTTTGCCTTATATGAATGCTAAAACCATTTTAATAGTTTTTCTTTTCCTGATGGTAGTTTAATAAAGCTTTCTTTTTATAAATTAACACTTATCTCTGTACTTTTTTCACTTACTAAATAAATTGAAATGCATAAAATGTTATAGAAAATATACTCACTTGAAAATGTCATTATTGTCTAATTATGAAATAAAATTGAAAAATATTTTGTAACTTCCAGCAGTAATTAAAATTTTTGCTACATATCAGACAACAGACAGACCAATGGCACCTACAACTTTATCAAATTTTAAAAGCTCAATAGAAAAGTCTGTGAAATATGTAAATTTGCTTAGATTTGCTTCCTTACAGACAAAAATTCATAGGACAACAGTAATTTGAATGTAAGAAAAATGGTAAAAATTAATTTATCCACAGTTATTATTTAATTCTTACTAAAGTCAATTAAAAGAGTCACAATTCCCTCACTGAACGATATTTGCTATCTGTTTAAACATATGAGAAGAGATACTAATGCATACACAAAGTGCAGTTTACAGCTATCCCTGAAGATATCTTAGTAAAAAGACTCTTGGCTGCATATATCCAATAGTTATTAATTCTACTATTGTTACCCACATTAGCCAGACATTATAGTGCCTTCTCTCTGACATGACACTGTGTCAGGCACTTTACATATATAAAGTGAATATTATTAGTCCCCATTTTACAGATCAGAAACTGGAGCTTATTTAGTTTTAAAAATGTGTCCAAATTTATATAGCTGGGAGTGGTAGAGCTGAGATTTAAGAGCTACTGTCCTTACCACTCTCTTATTGCCAGGACCTCCTGGTTATTTCCACAGATGACTTCTATTGTTTTTCTCCTTAGTTGATCTTGTTATAATGGACTTTGTCTTCTAAACTGCTTTTCTTAGATTACATTTTTCCCATTTGGTATTAATCAGACATAAACCAGAGCCAATCAAGGCTTCTGATGAGCATGACTTCAAGGGTGCTGATATGTTATCATTGGTTACAATCCAAAAGATTTGATATTGTAATCATTGTGTGTGTGCAGTGTTTTTTAGGACAAGTATACCTTCCCTTGGGCTTTTCCAAATAATGGAGCCTGAGAGTCCCCACTACTTTCATGGCCCCCTTGATGTGTAGAAACCTCAGGCTTGTAATACCCAAACTATCACAAATGCTAAATGTAATCAATGTTGCTTTTATGCTATGGATTTGGAGTCTAAGAGACAAAAACCTCCCACCCAACTGTTACAACCCTGTCCAACCCTCAAGTTATTATTTCTGTGCTTGCCATGTATCAGACCCTGGGCTAAATATTAGGACTATAATAATCAGCACATGAGATCCCTGTTATCAGGACGCTTAAACACAAATGTGGGTGAGAGTCTCAAATCAAATATGACACAAAATATACAATTGTACATACTTATGTACCATTAAGGAACGATCTCAGACAGTAGACAATATAGGTACCTACCCTAATCTGTCAGTTCAGCTAAGTCTTCCCTAAACAGGATAAGTTAACTGAGGGTGCAGGGAAATCCAGGAGAGGGACTGGCAGTCTCAAGTTCTGAGGCTGGAGCAGACTTTGACATCTGAGAAAGTGAAAAAAGAGCAGCATAGCTAAAATACAGAAAGCAAAGGGGAAAGTGGCATAAGATGAAGTAAGAGAGGTCAGAAGGGCCTTATAGGCTAGTTTAAGATAAATCTAATTTAAAGCAAGAGCAATAGAAAGCCACAGAATGGTTTTACACAGGGCAATGACCTAATCATATTTGCATTTTTATAAAAACACCATTTCCTTGTCTTTGAAAATGTGGTGTGTTTTTTTTTTTTCCGAGTAGATAAAAAGAGAATTTGACCAAAAACATTTGATCGAACACAACCCAGTCACTTTAAGACAAAGGAGAGTATTGGTTAGTGAGTATTAATCACTCCTACCATTGGTTGGTTCAAAATGAATTTCAACTTTTAACATTCCAGAAAAATGTGAATAAACATGTCCTTGTAAATTTGCATAATTACAAGTATATTCCAAGTATCATGAGAGAATTTCTAATTTAAGTACAATGCCATCTATGTTTGGTACTGCATTTCTGAGTAGGATGTTTTTTGCACATTTCCCATAATGAATTTCAGAGCTTTGGTTGAGATCTTGTTCTCGTATTGTTTTCCAGTCATATGATAACATCACTGAAAGTTTTACTCATCAGGAAAATATGTTGCACTATTTGAAGAGGCAGAGGGACAAGGATAGACATGAACATATCCTGATGCAATCATTAATTTTTCTTTCAAGAAACCCTTGTTTAATATTGAATATGTATCAACAGGGTGAGATGAAAAAAGAATAGTTCTTCCTCTTTCTCTTTCTCCTTATACTCTTGTTTTTCTTATTCAGAAAGGAAAGGACAAACATGGTTCCTTAGAAGAAACTGTAATTTTATTCCAAAACATTTCATATCATCTAAAATTGTGAAAACTATCACCAGAAGCAAGAAATACTTGGTAGATTTTGCCAGTCTAATGAATTAATTCACTGTGAAGTTTATGGTTATATTAATTTTATGTATGAAAAAAAGGAGGTTTGAAGATCATTAATTAGTGCATAATTCAAAAGAGGAAAGGTTGTAGGGCCAGTGCTCACCCCTTATGAGTATCTACTGAAAAGCTGTGTGCCTAACAAAAGCTTGAGTGTCAAGGGACTCCAGGTGAAGACAGTCTCAGGTGAGTCCAGACAAGTAATTCTCAGCCCTGGATGCATATTAGAGTCATCAGGAAGTTTTATAACATACCAGCAGTGGGGATGGTCAATATATAAGCTTCTCTGGGTTTGACCAAGAGAATCACTAACTTTAAGACTCTCCCCATACTTCCAAAAATGCAGTTAGATTTGAGAATCCCTGGTTCAGACAAGGATTCTTTATTTTAATTCAATCTTCCTCTACCTTCATCACCTCACTTTTCCAATTGTTTTATTTCCTGTAGTCATTATTTCCTTTAAAGCTAAACCTTACAGAAGTTTTGGACAAAGAAACAAAGGAGAGAGAACAATTCGTTGGATGCTGAGTGCTATTATTTACAATTCTTTTTCAAAAGCTTTATTAAAGTATAACTAATATACAAAAAATGCAAATATTTACTGTACACATTTGGATTTCACCTTTTTTTGTTGTTCAACCTATTGTCACTAGACTTGCCATCTCACCCTGGATTACTGAAACTTTCTTCCAGTTTCTTTATTTCTCTCATTAATATTATATATTAACTATGCAGTTATATTCAAGTAGACTTTTACCTGCCAGTGTACTGGTAAAAAAAAAAAAAAACAGCATGGTTTAAATTTGTGTACTGCAACTGCTTCTCTGCTTTCAAAACCTGTCCTTATATATTTTATACTGTCACTATTGCCCCAGTGTCACAGACTCAGCTCCAACCTTCCTGCTCATTCTTATCATGGAGGATTTCCTTTTATGCTTCCTTCCCTGTTGCCTTGATGGGCCTATCATCCTCATTTGCCTTTCTCTTTCTAAAACCCCTCTCAATTCCTATCTTCTCTATGAAGCTGCTATTATTGCAGCCCACACTGACTGCTTCCTTTTTGGAGGTACTAATTTTGTGTATTACATCACAAGAATTAGAACTTTATTGTTTTCTAATAGTTTTATAAATATTGGGCCCTTCATACTTTGTTTTATACTTTTTGACAGCAGAAATCAAGTTGTATATTTTTAAGTTATGTCCTCCACATCTTCTTTGAACTTCCAAACTCCATAAATACTTAATGCTAATAAATATAATCCATGCCCTTTTGTAATGCATCGTACTTATTCATGTAACTTTTTCTGGAGTCCTAAAATCTTCCTTAGGGATACTTCTGTGTTTGTCTCATTCTTGCATACTTCTAAGGGTATTTTCATTATACTATATTGTAATGGTCTATTTGTCCACTTCCTATATCTGCTAGATTGTGTGCTTTTTGTGGACGGAAGAAATGTCTTATGTGTTCCCTGTCACTTTAATGAGTTGCTTTTCTTATGTCCTTGCAATGATTCACGTATGCATTCCTCTATATACCTTCATCATCTTCTACGTCTTCCATCACAACACTTAATATAAATACAACTTTAACATCTCTTTCACACAATACATTGTAACACAATGCTTCTCAACCAAGGATGTTTTTGAACCCTGGGGGACATTTGGTAAAGCCTGGAGACATGTTTTGTAGTCAAAACTGAGATTCTATTGTCATCTAATGAGTAGAAACCAGGGATGCTGCTAAGTGTTCTTTAATGCACAGGACAGAGCCTCCCCATTACAAATAATTATCCCACCCAAAATATCAGTAGTGACAACACTGATAAATTTTGGTGTAAACTCAGGGAACAAGCACTATGTTCATGGATATATGGCTAGCACTCAGAACTATTCCTGCCACATAATAGATATTCAAGAACACTTGTGTAATTGAACAATGAAGCCTAAGCAGCTCAACTGAGTCCTCTGAAAAAAATAGCATACCATGCTTATTTTATCCCTCCATCAATCCATCCATTGATTCACATGTACATGTTGATCACTTCCCATGTGTGACGCAGGCCAGGCATGGGATGAGGCAATAGGTATGCATTGGAGACTATATATATTTGTGTGTTTGTGTGTGTGTGTATGTCTTACACTCAAAGTTCTTCTATATAATAATAAATACAGATAAGAGGCAATTTCACAACACTGTATGTACACTGATAATGGGTTTTCTGAGGCCAGCACAAAAGAAGATCATCAAATTCAAACTTGGGGATCACCAAGGGTTGAGTTTTAAAGCCAAGATTTGCAGGATAAATAAAAGTTAACAAAAAGGGGAACTAGAGAAAGACTATACACAAAGGATTAGAGGCAAAAAGTCTTTCCATATTCCTAGAATTGTAAGCAATTGGGGATAGGTCAAGTACAGAATACAACAGAATCCTAAAAAAATGAAAGATTTGGAAGGATAAGAAGTTTGGACTTTTTATATGATTAGAATCATATAATTCTAATAGCATTATACAATTTTAAGCAGTTATTATAAAATAACATATATGTAAGGTATTACTGTTATTTTTGTTCTTACTGCTAATGTCATTACTAGTCTTTGAAAAAAGATTGGGGAGAGGACAAGAAAATTGAAAATAATATAAAAATTCTTAATGACATTTATTTAAAATGAAATATTCAGTCATCCTTAAATAATGTTAAGTGTCATTTTACTTTGTCTGTTTCTCTTCTACTTCTGTATTTTATGCAGTTATGTCTATTTTTAAAGAAAACTGGAGCTGCCTATAATGCTTTATTGGACAAATAATACTTCACTGTGAAACCTTTCCCCAACCACAGCCTCCACGAGAGCATCCAACAATGAAAAATGGTAAGTATGATAATCTAATCTAATTTGATTATATCTTATCAATGGAGGTGGAAGTCAAAAATAGAGGTAGGTGCTGCAGGATTCAGGTAGTAGAATGAAAAGTTTAAGGCAGGAGTTATTTACAAAGGCTCTGCTGATTCTTTCTAGGTCACTGTAAAAGAAAAAGATGAGCTTTTCTTTAAAGTCCAGAAGTGGAAACTACAAGATGGAAAAGTGTTCTGATCCTTTTTTTGAGGACTTTCATTTAATTTCATTTCTGGTGTTATGAAAGCTGACCGTTTCATTTCTGGTGTTATAAAATCTGCTGTCCCTAGCAGTTTTACCCTTCTGTTGGTTTTCCACCTTCCTAACTCATATTTTCAGATGGACAAAAATGCAATCATACATTACTTTTTGCATACCACTTCAAAGTTTACCAAATGTTTTGATCTGCATTTTCTTAGCAAAATGTTAGAGGGTTGGTTTTCACCAAGTTTCACTTACTCACCATCTTATTTTCTTTAGTATAGAACTTCACATTGTGAAAAAGAGAGAAAAAGAAGATCAGTGCAATTCAAATAATCAGCAATTACTCAGGAATTCTTACCTTTATCAAAGTACTCATTGCCAAAAATTATATTTGGTTTTTAATTATGTATATAAAAATACATAACAGGATTTAGTCATAAGGACAGCTTTTTATTATTTGCCCCATCTTTTGGCCTTCATGATGGGCATACTTTTAAAACTAAGAGCTCAAAACAAATTTGTTTTTCTATCTGTTCATCAATAAGATAATCTATCATTCATATGTATCTGTTAAGACAGGTGAGGCCTGTAGCATTATTTTTTAAGCAAGAAATAAATTATTTTGGTTTTAAGTGAAAATACTTCATGCTAGTAATGAAACAAAGCAAATAAATTGTGAGTGGTATTTTCTTAGTGAAATGGGAGTATTTTTCTGATTAATTATTTGGAATCTGTAATAGAGAAACATATTGTTTTGAAAAATAATTGCACAGGTGAAAGCAATAACAAAATCTTCATTAGAAAGGCAAGGGGAACTAGCAGCAGAGGAAAACTAAAGAAATTCATTGTGCTTGAGACTAACCTATTTAAGAAGGAGAAATTGCTGACACATCTCTTCAAGAGGATCATATCTCATATATTTGGAGGATGAAAGAATTTGCAGCTAAAGGAATTAGCTTTAGGCTGTATTTAAATCTCACAAACAGTCTCAATGCCATGTGTACAATTGCAATATCTTGTCCAAAGTACATATTTTTTTCCCAATTTTTGAGAATACAATTTTATACTTTGAGTATAATTTTCTCTTTTATGTATTTTTTCAAATAAACTTTATATTTTAGAAAAAATGTTGATATACAGAAAAGTTGTGCTATTAGTCCACAGTGTAGGATTCTCATATACCCACACTGTTTCCCCACTTGTTAAAATTTTATATTAGCATCTTAATTTTGTTGCAATTGATGAAATGACATTGATACATTTTTATTGACTAAAGTCCATACTCTTTATTCAGATTCCCTTAGTTTCAAACCTAATGTCCTTTTTCTTTTTCCAGAATCATATCCGGGATACCACAATACATTTAGTTGTCATGTCTCCTTGTCTCCTTAGGTGCTGCTTGACTGTGACAGTTTCTTTTCTTTTTCTTTTTGTTTGTTTGTCGAGATGGAGTCTTGCTCTGTTGCCCAGGCTGGAGTGGAGTGCAGTGGCACAATTTCAGCTCACTGCAACCTCTGCCTCCCAGGTTCAAGCAATTCTCCTGCCTCAGCCTCCCAAGTAGCTGGGGTTACAGGCACCAACCACCATGCCCAGCTAATTTTAAAAATATTTTTAGCAGAGATGGGGTTTCACCATGTTGGTCTCAAACTCCTGACCTCAGGTGATCTGCCGCCTTGGCCTCCCAAAGTGCTGGGATTACAGGTGTGAGCCACTGCACCTGGCCGATGGTGACAATTTCTTATACTTTCCTTGTTGTTGATGGCTTTAACAGTTTTGAAGAGTATAAGTGAGGTATTTTGTAGAATGTCTTTCAATTTGGATTTCGCTGATGTTTTCCTTATGATTAGATTGGGGCTTGTGGATTTGGGGGATGAAGACCACACAGGTAAAATACCATTTTTGTCATAGCGTAGCAAAGGTATATACTATCATTGTGACTTACTTTGAACACCTGGTTGAGGTAGTGTTTGTCAAGTTTGTCCATTGTTAAGCTTTTCTTTGTTTCTCTCTTTCCATTCTGTTCCTTTTGGAAAGAAGTCACTATACACAGCCCATACTTAAGTGAAAATTACACTTTATTTTCTTGAGGGCAGAATGTCTAGATAAATTATTGGGAATTCTTCTGTATGGGAGATTTCTATTCATCCAAAATAAAAAATTATTCAATCATTTATTTGTATCAGTAGGGACTCAGGTGTTTATTTACTACTATGGGTTATAATCCAATACTACTTCATTTATTTTCTTGCTCAAATTGCTTTAGCCATTGACAGCTCTTTCAGTTGGCTCTTGTGTTCCTTTGGCATAATCCCATCATCGTGTTTAAATTTTTTCTTTGTAAATTTTTGAGCACTTCTTTACTTTATGGCAATATAAGGTACCATAATCTCATTTTTAAGTTTTCTGCCCCTGTTGTAGAACCAGCCATTTCTCCAAAGAGCCTGGTTGCTTTTGCTTTTATTGGAGAATGGTGTTAGAAACCAAACTCTAGGCATGAGGGGTTCTCATGGCTACTAGAGTGTTGTTGCCTCCAGCCTTTCTCAGCTGACAGAACAAAGGAATACATGTGTATATACATGTAGCTATAAATATATATATAAACCATCTGTGTATTAAGCTAAACATATTAATAAGTCTGTAGTAATGTCTTCAATTCCAGTCCATTACCACATAAATCGTTCTACCCTCTTCTCTTTGCTTACTTGTAATCTTCTGCTCTAAAAGTGAAACACCTGGCTTCTATCATCTACCATTTATTTACTAATTGTTCAATTTTAGTATATATGTATAGTTCTGTCATTGTTTAACACATACCCCCGTGAAGATTAAATCTGTCAGCTCACATATTATCCATATATACAATTTATTTTGCCTTTAGCCATACAGATTCCAGTTATATGCAAAGTTTTTCAGTTCAGCACTTTTTTCTCCACCCCTTTCAGTGGGGTTCTTTCATATATTTGTAATACAGTCAGATTGTTTTATCACAGCCTACATTCCATCCTACAATACTTTGACCTCCTAAATATTTTCTAAAATTTGCATACATTAAGATTCTAACTTCTCAGGTAGCCTGCAGGTTTTTTTCTTTTCTTTAATTTGTTACCCATATAGTTCTGTTTATCCAGAGTGGTTTTTTCCCACTCACTGTTTACTTAGCAAGATCCTATTCATTCTTCAGGTCACACTTATTTCAGTATTTTAGAAAAGGGTTTCCTTGACACATCACTATAAAATACTTCTTTTTTAGGTCCTTCCATATATTCCTGGCATTTTTCTAGATTTTTTTTCTTCTATACACTGCTAAATGAAAATTTCCATTCCAATTATACACAAAAATACAAATGAAAAGCTATACATTTTCTTTTAAATATTCACTTTAAACTTTGAAGTTGTTGCCCAACCTTACTATCTGTTTATCTATTTTAACTCAGAGTGAGGGCTTCTCAGTGTTACAAAATCCAATTATTTCTCTATTTGTTAAATCTTTTTGAAATTTTGATCACCAAGACCAGTAAATGCTTCTGGGAATACTATCCAAGGCTACGTTTGTATACAAAAAAGTCAAGATAAAATATTCAGTCAAGAGGTCCAGTGAACTTTTTTCAGAGATTTTATGTACTAAGTTTAATGGTTTAAAAATAAAACATTAGCACTTGACAGAATTACATCACTACAAATAAAAGGAAGAAATCACTTTCTTTGGCTTTTAGATCAAGCTAATAGGTTTTAGTAATACTTATGAATCTTATTCTTCTGATTTTAACTTTGAGATTTTTCCCTTACTTTTTTATGAGAAGAAAGACTACATTTAATGCAGCAGCAAGAGGAGGGATATATCCTGAATCTGAGTGATAAAATCACATCCATAAAATTCAAGACTGCTGATGTAGGGACAAAGTTTATCTCACCCCTTCCATTTCATAGTCACATTTTGTGTCCAGTTTTGTATAGCATCTCTCCTTCAAATGTGATGGGGTAGTCTGATGTTAACTTCAGCCGCATATGATGAAGATAGATTCCTCTCATGATTTTTCCAATCTTTTTCCTACTTGTAGAACATCCCACTAATTAGATGAAAAAGTGTTGTTTTGCTGACAACTCAAGGAAGGACAGAAAGTGATTTTCAATGCATCTCACTTTGATTGGCATACACATTTGGTGGTAAAATCTTGTTGCTTTTTTTATGGTTCCCCCTAGATTCTCTTCCCATGTCACCCTCAGCACTGTCTTAGATGTCATTTACTCTAGAACTATTTCTGTTACTATCACTTCACAAGATAGTTTTTCAATACTGTTCTTTTTAAACATGCCCCTTCAATATACCCTCGTTTCTACTGTCAAAAGTATTCTAGCATGAGTTATTTTTAACATATTACAACCACCCTAACACCTGGAAGTTTATCTCTAGCTTCCCATTTCACTATACATTCAGTTCCAGCTTCTTATTTTAAGATCAAAGTCCTGCTACCAAATGATATGTATTTCTTCCCCTTTACTTTCTATTTCCAAACAATTTTCTGAACCTATTTCCAGGAAACCTATTGTCACTTTTTCTCTACTCTCATTTTGAATTTTTCCCATACCAAAACAATGTCATATGCCTGGGGTTATGTTCCTGTAAACACAACCAGAGTCCCTGAATCTTTATCTTTCTCTCTCTCTCAGTCTCTTTTTCCCTCTCTCAGTCTCTTTCTCCTTCCTGAAATAGTGTCTAACATTTCACCTATTTCAGAAAACCTTTCTAGATTGATTACAAAATCTTTCTAGATTGATGGATGGAGGGGTCCTCCTGAATTGGAAGGATGTTCAAATATTGGTGTTTAAAAATCCACACATTTGTACATTACAGTAGCTTTCTACCTTTTTGTCATTGTTTTAAATTGTGGCCTAGGAAATAGGAAACATATTTTTATTACTCTTGTATGATAACTTGCCAAGTTTAGGCATGATTTTGCATTTTTGGACATGCTATTAAGGTTATCATTGCTTCATTGTGAATGCATCTATTCACAGTGTAAGAGGAAATTTTCCATTGTGAGTTATCATTTAATGGTGATATGAATACAACGATTTAAGCTTCTTAAACATTTTAAAATAAGATGTGTATACTATGAAAATGTCATTTGGTTTCAAATCTTTGTCTTATCTTTGGTGTCTTATTGATTAGAAGGTCAAAATAGGACTCGTAAATTTACGTATCATATATTAGCTTAATTACATGTTTCTAATGTACAATCTGCTGGATTTTATTGGCAGGGTATATCACAACTTTTAATGAGCCACATCTTGCACCAGTCCACACTTTGAAACAGAAAGAAAGCAAGTAATTAAATCAGGTTTCCTACATTTAAACACATTGGACTGATTAGATACTTTGGTTTAATTTTCTGGGAAAAGATAGAAAGTTTTAAATTGAATTAGTTATTTACATTGTGTTTTTCATTTATGTGAAGGGTAAATTTATTATGGATATTAAAAAGAAACTTAGCATGTCTTTGCCTTTAAGCAAAATATATGAATGTTTGCATCATATAGAAATTGACTGCATATGTGCATGTATGTGTATTTTTAAAATTATTGAATTCCCCAGATATTTAATTAAAAATGCATATACATTTATATATTCATTAGATTCTCAAAGAGGGTCTGATCAGAAAAAATTCACAATAATATATTTATTTTAGTCACTTATTTTCCTTTTTTACTACTTAATAATTTTAATAAAGTGGTAAGTCACCTAGTTATTAAAAAACAATATTTTGCATTTGTATACAAATGTATAAAATAATATCTGTATACTATCACCATATTTATTTATTTTCTTAAAATTTATTTGGTGGAAGATGAGGTAAAAATGCATGTGTAAACTGTACATTTATAGTTTACATATATATTGTTTGTAAGTTCATCAAGATATTTATATATATATATATGGGGTTAAAATGTTAATAATGCAGTCTAAACTTAAAAATGTGTAAGTTCTGTAGATTTTACAATGTAAATAGAATATTTAAAATGGAAGGGATATTTTTCCAGTATTCAAAACTATTGCCCAATTAAGCAAAGTAGTCATTCACATTACTGACAAACACAGAAAAATATTAGCCCAAACTGTTCATCATTACTGAAAAAAATAACACAGAATACATGTTTTATTGATATGAATAACTTATTACTCCAAAATTACTGCTCTAAAATAATACTTGTTTCCTTTTTAAGTCTTTCTGTATATCAACTGCTCTTTATATGTGATCTACTTTTATATTTACGTGTAATTATATATGTACTTACACATTTAAAGACAATTCACACATTTAAAGAGCCATCTTCTTCCCAGTTCCACTGACCATTATTAAGATTTTTAAGTTTTTACTTACATAATTATTGACTGCTTTCTTTACTGTATTATCTTGGTTGGGTTCTCTACTGAAACATACACTCCAAGTACATATCGCTTTTCTACCAGATCGTCTTCAGGCTAGAGTTGGGAAATTCCTTAAAGAACCAAAAAAGCAAACACACACACATTCACACTGAACAGTATTTGTAACTGTGATATTTATTTAAAAATTCACAATAGTCCATAGGAATGATTTATAATTCATTTGGTGTATTAAAATTTTATTTAACCTTCAACAGGTGAAACTCAAGCTTCGAAATGTAGAAATCTGTAGTGAACATGTTTCAACTGAGGATAATTTGGAGCAGGGCCAGTGGGGATTTTATTTTATGGTGGTGGCAAGAGAGGAGAGTCTGGTGGCAGGCAATGAGTATCCAGCTGTGTTGGCAAAGTTCAAATATTCGCAGCCCCAGTGGTGATAGCTGTGAGCGTCCATCTGGACAATGGCCAAGTGCTATGCAATCTGTGTTTGGCTCTGGACACCGCTTTGTATTCCAGCCTTCCTACTGGTTCTCTCGTTTCCCTATGACATTCCTACATTTATGCATAGGTTAACTAAGGTCAGAATTTGGTTTACTTTTTTCATTTAATATCAAAAAACATTGATTTGATTAATTGCTATATTTTCACATTTAGGGCAACTAACATCCCATGCCAGATGAGAGTTTTCTCTTATATTGGCCACTACTATTCTGCCTCTCAAGATTCCTATTCATTCTCCTTTCTGTCATATAAAAATTAATTTTAAATTAAACAATGGGATCTTGAACTGAATATGGAGATTCATTGGGATTCTATATCTGTGAGATATAAAAGCATAGTGAGTCTCTGGACAATGAAACACCTTTGCCATATATGGTTATCCAAAGGAAGGGGCAATATTATTTTCCAAGCTGTACCAAAAACATATGTTCTTCTCTAAAAAAGAGAATAGTTAGAATCAACATTTTGATTGACAACTAGGCATAAAAGGAGTTAGTTCTGTATTAAAGTCTTTCTGTTCTTTAGTACAGCTCAACTTTTAAAAACTTTATAATATCCTCATCATATAACTATTTCATGTCCACTGTTCTAAATATTAATGACATTGAAAACTAACCATTTGTGATAAACAAATGTTTCCTGAGACAAAAGAGACTTTACTACTATTACATAAAAGTTTAGTGAGCATTTGCAAATCGTCAACTATATTCAAGATAATACTCCTGTTTATGTTCAGATTCAAATAATCAATCCTTTTAACTAGTAAATTAGGCATTTTGTTCCAATTATTTGTTTAGTTTAAACAGCTGCAAGTCTTTAATAAAATAATTATTTGTAATAGGAACCTGATGAGCTGGAATATCAGAATGTGCCATTATTAGTTGTAGACATTAACTCTCTTTTTGTCTAATAAGTAAGGGAGTGGACTTATTCTCTTAACAGAGAGAGCTTGATGACTGGATGAAATGTCGAATTTCCATTTTCAAATGAGCAGTTTCTAAGGTAGGAAAAAAATATTGCACAATCTAACCATATTCTTTGGTATTAAACACATCTCCTGAGAACATTGAGAGAAAAGACCATATTTGCTAAAAATGTATAATTCAAAGCTGGGAATGTTCATTAAATAGAGTTAAGGATATTATCCCCAGGTAGAAGGAGCAAATAAGAACATGGATGAGAGAAAAGCCTGGATTCTGCAGTAAAATAGAAGGAGGACAATCCCAGAGGGAAAGAAATAATAGCTATGTTTTAATTGCTCAGGGGACAGTGGTTAGTGGGGTCTGTAGGTGACTTTGGATTGGAGATTTCATTTGACCCGGACCCTGATGGAAATAGGTAATAGTAATTAACACTTTAACACTTTGCAGTGGTTACAATGGGCTAGGTATTATTCTATGATATAGCTAGATGATAGATAGATAGATAGATAGATAGATAGATAGATAGATAGATACACACACATACATGTGTATGTATGTGTGTATACATACATGTGTATATATGTGTATATATATATACACATCCATATATGTGTGTGTGTGTATATATATATATATATATATATGTCCAGTCACTTAATGCTCACAACAATTCTATGAGTTTGGTCCTATTAGTATTCTTAATATACAAATGAAGAAATTAAGGTAACAAGACATTAAGAAACTTACACAAGAACATACAGCTCCAACAGCTAGTCATATAGACTGGCTTCAGCACCAGTACCTTTCATTCTACAGCCCATTCTCAGATCAATTGCTCTACCCGCAGCTCTGCTAAAGGGGTGGACTTTACAGGTAATGTTTCTGAATTATTAAACTCTGCTTCTGTTTCATGCCTTGAGAGGGAGGTAAGGAGGTGAACAAAGAATAGTAATTTGGAGCTTTGTGCAAATATTCAAGCTGAGCCAGTGAGATTCCCTCTTATGAGTGGGAATTAAAGAATGCACAGAGAGTAGGCCAGTGAGCAGCAGAGATTGCAGCTCAATTGTCATGGTATAGAGAAGAATCTGAAGAGGCCCTGGTGGCCATGGGCAGAAAATAAAAATAGGCTCAGGAATCTGGCTGGCAGAGAAAGAATTGAGAGAACACAGTAGAGCAATGGGGAGCCAGAGACACCATGAGAGAGAAGTAGACAGAGCAGCTCATCCCATTCCAGGCAGCATGTGTCTTTATAATTAATACAAGAGAGAATTTGAGAGTATATATGTTTCTGTGTAACTCTTATCATTAGTTATATCGTTGGGAGCAACTGGGAGTTTTCAAACAGAAGGATAAAGTGATCTGGCAGATGATACAGTATAAAAAGACAGCAGAGGATGCAGATTGGAAAGGGAAAAACTAAGAGCAAGATGTTCACTATAGAAGGTTATGGCTATAGTTGAGATAAAAGAGTAATTTCATTAAAAATGGATCAGAAAATGATTATGAAGACTTATCTGACTTCGTTCTCATGCCAACTTATTCATTCACTCATTTGCTCATAGATTCCTAGAAATAAGTTCTTGACAAACTATTCTCCTCTTGTCTTTCTCGTTATAAGCACTATCCTTAAAGTCAACAAATTTCAAATTTTTTTGTCAACATACATTTACTACTATGCCAGTTTCTGGGAACACTAAGATAAACATCTAAGTTCTTATCTTCAGTGAGTACATACACTGTCTAGTGAAGATGTATAGACTATTAACAAACAGGAACAGATTATTCATAGAAGGGGCAACATTCCCAAACTAACAAAATGTGGAAAACTTTTAAAAGGAGATGATACTGAATTAGAAGCTGGAGGATAAGTTGTCTAACATTCTGAAATTCGTTGACTTCGAGGATAGTGCTTATAATGAGAAAAACAGCAGGAGAAAAGTTTATCAAGAATTTCTTTCTAGGAATCTATGTGAAAATTTGTTGAGATGGGGGAGGTAGATGACGTGGAACACCAATAAACTATTTTCTTAACTTTTCTTTTATTTATTTATTTATTATTATTATACTTTAAGTTTTAGGGTACATGTGCACAATGTGCAGGTTAGTTACATATGTATACATGTGCCATGCTGGTGTGCTGCACCCACTAACTCATCATCTAGCATTAGGTATATCTCCCAATGCCATCCCTCCCCCCTCCCCCCACCCCACAACAGTCCCCATAGTGTGATGTTCCCCTTCCTGTGTCCATGTGTTCTCATTGTTCAATTCCAACCTATGAGTGAGAATATGTGGTGTTTGGTTTTTTGTCCTTGCGACAGTTTACTGAGAATGATGATTTCCAATTTCATCCATGTCCCTACAAAGGACATGAACTCATCATTTTTTATGGCTGCATAGTATTCCATGGTGTATATGTGCCACATTTTCTTAATCCAGTCTATCATTGTTGGACATTTGGGTTGGTTCCAAGTCTTTGCTATTGTGAATAATGCCGCAATAAACATACGTGTGCATGTGTCTTTATAGCAGCATGATTTATAGTCCTTTGGGTATATACCCAGTAATGGGATAGCTGGGTCAAATGGTATTTCCAGTTCTAGATCCCTGAGGAATCGCCACACTGACTTCCACAATGGTTGAACTAGTTTACAGTCCCACCAACAGTGTAAAAGTGTTCCTATTTCTCCACATCCTCTCCAGCACCTGTTGTTTCCTGACTTTTTAATGATTGCCATTCTAACTGGTGTGAGATGGTATCTCATTGTGGTTTTGATTTGCAGTTCTCTGATGGCCAGTGATGGTGAGCATTTTTTCATGTGTCTTTTGGCTGCATAAATGTCTTCTTTTGAGAAGTGTCTGTTCATGTCCTTTGCCCACTTTTTGATGGGGTTGTTTGTTTTTTTCTTGTAAATTTGTTTGAGTTCATTGTAGATTCTGGATATTAGCCCTTTGTCAGATAAGTAGGTTGCAAAAATTTTCTCCAATTTTGTAGGTTGCCTGTTCACTCTGATGGTAGTTTCTTTTGCTGTGCAGAAGCTCTTTAGTTTAATTAGATCCCATTTGTCAATTTTGGCTTTTGTTGCCATTGCTTTTGGTGTTTTAGACATGAAGTCCTTGCCCATGCCTATGTCCTGAATGGTAATGCCTAGGTTTTCTTCTAGGGTTTTTATGGTTTTAGGTCTAACATTTAAGTCTTTAATCCATCTTGAATTGATTTTTGTATAAGGTGTAAGGAAGGGATCCAGTTTCAGCTTTCTACATATGACTAGCCAGTTTTCCCAGCACCATTTATTAAACAGGGAATCCTTTCCCCATTGCTTGTTTTTGTCAGGTTTGTCAAAGATCAGATAGTTGTAGATATGTGGCGTTATTTCTGAGGGCTCTATTCTGTTCCATTGATCTATATCTCTGTTTTGGTACCAGTACCATGCTGTTTTGGTTACTGTAGCCTTGTAGTATAGTTTGAAGTCAGGTAGTGTGATGCCTCCAGCTTTGTTCTTTTGGCTTAGGATTGACTTGGCGATGTGGGCTCTTTGTTGGTTCCCTATGAACTTTAAAGTAGTTTTTTCCAATTCTGTGAAGAAAGTCATTGGTAGCTTGATGGGGATGGCATTGAATCTGTAAATTACCTTGGGCAGTATGGCCATTTTCACGATATTGATTCTTCCTACCCATGAGCATGGAATGTTCTTCCATTTGTTTGTATCCTCTTTTATTTCGTTGAGCAGTGGTTTGTAGTTCTCCTTGAAGAGGTCCTTCACATCCCTTGTAAGTTGGATTCCTAGGTATTTTATTCTCTTTGAAGCAATTGTGAATGGGAGTTCACTCATGATTTGGCTCTCTGTTTGTCTGTTGTTGGTGTATAAGAATGCTTGTGATTTTTGTACATTGATTTTGTATCCTGAGACTTTGCTGAAGTTGCTTATCAGCTTAAGGAGATTTTGGGCTGAGACAATGGGGTTTTCTAGATATACAATCATGTCATATGCAAACAGGGACAATTTGACTTCCTCTTTTCCTAATTGAATACCCTTTATTTCCTTCTCCTGCCTGATTGCCCTGGCCAGAACTTCCAACACTATGTTGAATAGGAGTAGTGAGAGAGGGCATCCCTGTCTTGTGCCAGTTTTCAAAGGGAATGCTTCCAGTTTTTGCCCATTCAGTATGATATTGGCTGTGGGTTTGTCATAGATAGCTCTTATTATTTTGAAATATGTCCCATCAATACCTGATTTATTGAGAGTTTTTAGCATGAAGGGTTGTTGAATTTTGTCAAAGGCCTTTTCTGCATCTATTGAGATAATCATATGGTTTTTGTCTTTGGCTCTGTTTATATGCTGGATTACATTTATTGATTTGCGTATATTGAACCAGCCTTGCATCCCAGGGATGAAGCCCACTTGATCATGGTGGATAAGCTTTTTGATGTGCTGCTGGATTCGTTTTGCCAGTATTTTATTGAGGATTTTTGCATCAATGTTCATCAAGGATATTGGTCTAAAATTGTCTTTTTTGGTTGTGTCTCTGCCCGGCTTTGGTATCAGAATGATGCTGGCCTCATAAAATGAGTTAGGGAGGATTCCCTCTTTTTCTATTGATTGGAATAGTTTCAGAAGGAATGGTACCAGTTCCTCCTTGTACCTCTGGTAGAATTCAGCTGTGAATCCATTCCGTCCTGGACTCTTTTTGGTTGGTAAGCTATTGATTATTGCCACAATTTCAGCTCCTGTTATTGGTCTATTCAGAGATTCAACTTCTTCCTGGTTTAGTCTTGGGAGGGTGTATGTGTCGAGGAATTTATCCATTTCTTCTAGATTTTCTAGTTTATTTGCGTAGAGGTGTTTGTAGTATTCTCTGATGGTAGTTTGTATTTCTGTGGGATCGGTGGTGATATCCCCTTTATCATTTTTTATTGTGTCTATTTGATTCTTCTCTCTTTTTTTCTTTATAAGTCTTGCTAGCGGTCTATCAATTTTGTTGATCCTTTCAAAAAACCAGCTCCTGGATTCATTAATTTTTTGAAGGGTTTTTTGTGTCTCTATTTCCTTTAGTTCTGCTCTGATTTTAGTTAATTCTTGCCTTCTGCTAGCTTTTGAATGTGTTTGCTCTTGCTTTTCTAGTTCTTTTAATTGTGATGTTAGGGTGTCAATTTTGGATCTTTCCTGCTTTCTCTTGTGGGCATTTAGTGCTATAAATTTCCCTCTACACACTGCTTTGAATGCGTCCCAGAGATTCTGGTATGTTGTGTCTTTGTTCTCGTTGGTTTCAAAGAACATCTTTATTTCTGCCTTCATTTCATTATGTACCCAGTAGTCATTCAGGAGCAGGTTGTTCAGTTTCCATGTAGTTGAGCGGCTTTGAGTGAGATTCTTAATCCTGAGTTCTAGTTTGATTGCACTGTGGTCTGAGAGATAGTTTGTTATAATTTCTGTTCTTTTACATTTGCTGAGGAGAGCTTTACTTCCAACTATGTGGTCAATTTTGGAATAGGTGTGGTGTGGTGCTGAAAAAAATTTATATTCTGTTGATTTGGGGTGGAGAGTTCTGTAGATGTCTATTAGGTCCACTTGGTGCAGAGCTGAGTTCAATTCCTGGGTATCCTTGTTGACTTTCTGTCTCGTTGATCTGTCTAATGTTGACAGTGGGGTGTTAAAGTCTCCCATTATTAATGTGTGGGAGTCTAAGTCTCTTTGTAGGTCACTCAGGACTTGCTTTATGAATCTGGGTGCTCCTGTATTGGGTGCATATATATTTAGGATAGTTAGCTCTTCTTGTTGAATTGATCCCTTTACCATTATGTAATGGCCTTCTTTGTCTCTTTTGATCTTTGTTGGTTTAAAGTCTGTTTTATCAGAGACTAGGATTGCAACCCCTGCTTTTTTTGTTTTCCATTTGCTTGGTAGATCTTCCTCCATCCTTTTATTTTGAGCCTATGTGTGTCTCTGCACGTGAGATGGGTTTCCCGAATACAGCACACTGATGGGTCTTGACTCTTTATCCAATTTGCCAGTCTGTGTCTTTTAATTGGAGCATTTAGTCCATTTACATTTAAAGTTAATATTGTTATGTATGAATTTGATCCTGTCATTATGATGTTAGCTGGTTATTTTGCTTGTTAGTTGATGCAGTTTCTTCCTAGTCTGGATGGTCTTTACATTTTGGCATGATTTTGCAGCGGCTGGTACCGGTTGTTCCTTTCCATGTTTAGTGCTTCCTTCAGGAGCTCTTGTAAGGCAGGCCTGGTGGTGACAAAATCTCTCAGCATCTGCTTGTCTGTAAGGTATTTTATTTCTCCTTCACTTATGAAGCTTAGTTTGGCTGGATATGAAATTCTGGGTTGAAAATTCTTTTCTTTAAGAATGTTGAAGATTGGCCCCCACTCTCTTCTGGCTTGTAGGGTTTCTGCCGAGAGATCCACTGGAAGTCTGATGGGCTTCCCTTTGAGTGTAACCCGACCTTTCTCTCTGGCTGCCCTTAACATTTTTTCCTTCATTTCAACTTTGGTGAATCTGACAATTATGTGTCTTGGAGTTGCTCTTCTCGAGGAGTATCTTTGTGGCGTTCTCTGTATTTCCTGAATCTGAACGTTGGCCTGCCTTGCTAGATTGGGGAAGTTCTCCTGGATAATATCCTGCAGAGTGTTTTCCAACTTGGTTCCATTCTCCCCATCACTTTCAGGTACACCAATCAGACGTAGATTTGGTCTTTTCACATAGTCCCATATTTCTTGGAGGCTTTGCTCATTTCTTTTTATTCTTTTTTCTCTAACCTTCCCTTCTCGCTTCATTTCATTCATTTCATCTTCCATTGCTGATACCCTTTCTTCCAGTTGATCGCGTCGGCTCCTGAGGCTTCTGCATTCTTCACGTAGTTCTCGAGCCTTGGTTTTCAGCTCCATCAGCTCCTTTAAGCACTTCTCTGTATTGGTTATTCTAGTTATACATTCTTCTAAATTTTTTTCAAAGTTTTCAGCTTCTTTGCCTTTGGTTTGAATGTCCTCCCATAGCTCAGAGTAATTTGATCGTCTGAAGCCTTCTTCTCTCAGCTCCTCAAAGTCATTCTCCATCCAGCTTTGTTCCGTTGCTGGTGAGGAACTGCGTTCCTTTGGAGGAGGAGAGGCGCTCTGCGTTTTAGAGTTTCCAGTTTTTCTGTTCTGTTTTTTCCCCATCTTTGTGGTTTTATCTACTTTTGGTCTTTGATGATGGTGATGTACAGATGGGTTTTCGGTGTGGATGTCCTTTCTGTTTGTTAGTTTTCCTTCTAAGAGACAGGACCCTCAGCTGCAGGTCTGTTGGAATACCCTGCCGTGTGAGGTGTCAGTGTGCCCCTGCTGGGGGGTGCCTCCCAGTTAGGCTGCTCGGGGGTCAGGGGTCAGGGACCCACTTGAGGAGGCAGTCTGCCGGGTCTCAGATCTCCAGCTGCGTGCTGGGAGAACCACTGCTCTCTTCAAAGCTGTCAGACAGGGACACTTAAGTCTGCAGAGGTTACTGCTGTCTTTTTGTTTGTCTGTGCCCTGCCCCCAGAGGTGGAGCCTACAGAGGCAGGCAGGCCTCCTTGAGCTGTGGTGGGCTCCACCCAGTTCGGGCTTCCTGGCTGCTTTGTTTACCTAAGCAAGCCTGGGCAATGGCGGGCGCCCCTCCCCCAGCCTCGCTGCCGCCTTGCAGTTTGATCTCAGACTGCTGTGCTAGCAATCAGCGAGATTCCATGGGCGTAGGACCCTCCGAGCCAGGTGTGAGATATAATCTCGTGGTTCGCCGTTTTTTAAGCCGGTCTGAAAAGCGCAATATTCGGGTGGGAGTGACCCGATTTTCCAGGTGCGTCCGTCACCCCTTTCTTTGACTCGGAAAGGGAACTCCCTGACCCCTCGCGCTTCCCAAGTGAGGCAATGCCTCGCCCTGCTTCGGCTCGCGCACGGTGCGCGCACCCACTGACCTGCACCCACTGTCTGGCACTCCCTAGTGAGATGAACCCGGTACCTCAGATGGTAATGCAGAAATCACCCGTCTTCTGCGTCGCTCATCTTTAATTTTCATATTAAGTTTTCATATGAAGTTGTCCTTTCTGACAATAATTAGCCAATAGTTTTATTTGTTTTTATATTTATTCTTGCTTTTTGATAATAAATAAAACCAGCAATATGTAATACTTGTGTTGTCTACTTATTATAGGATATTAGTCTAAAATAGATTGTGGATTTTTTAGATATGTTAAAACCAATGGTAGAGCTAATTTATTCACTATACCATATAATAAAAACATTTTATCTGCCAGAAACTTCTTTGTCTGTGGCTTAGAGGAATATTATAGTACAGGCTTTGTTGATACAATAATAGCATATGATCTGTAGCAAGATTGTATATGCTGGAACACAGTCAGAATCTATTTGTGGAATCAAGGCAGGATCAATGAGCTCAGCAAAGAGCTTATTCTATTATTAGTCATTTTCTTGATAAGATGAGAGAGAGGTTAGACACAGTGGTGGCATAATTGTGTCTAAAATCTACTTGCTTCTCATGAAAGATTTTAAATTGAGTGATTTATTCTAATAAGCTGTAAAGAAAGAAGCTTAAATATAAATATGAAGGTGAGATAACTCATAAAAGTATAATCTACGGAGATGAGTGTTTATTTTCATGAAAATAAATTAGACTATATTTTGAGACTATCTTAAAACTGCTAGACTACTTTAAGGATGACTGGAATTCGTCTTTCAGAGGAAGATAGAAAAAATTATAATGGTAAGAGTTCCTTCATTTGGCCATTTCAGATTAAGGAGATTATGCATTTTACAGTAGATAAAGTTGTTGGAATCTAAAAATATAAGAAATTCAGGGAGATCTTCCAAAAACCATAAATTTGAGGGGAATACTTCACTAATACAGCAGTTTTCATTGTTAGAATTTCCAAATGGAACATTTGCTCTGGAGACAGAATCCAAAGATTCCCTTTCAAATCTATTATGTTAGAATTTGTTTTAATTATTTTGAATTGCTTAAAAATTACTTTAAAATCATTTTATTCAGTTTCATAATGTTTTCTTCTTGATATTTAAGCTTTATGATAGTTTAAGGAGCTTATGAAAACATGGATACATTTGGAATTAAGTATGACATAAGGAATTATCTAATTCAGCATTAACTTAGGTAAATTTGGGATCTTCAGTTCATTTGCCAAAGGATGTGTACTCCTCTAAGGTAAATGAAAAACCAATGTCCAGGCAACAGAAATATGCTACATTATCCAGATATACCTCTGAGTTAGCTACTTTTGGAGGATTAACAAATTTTTTTCACCTTTTGGGGAGAGAGGATATGTGAGAATTTGTTAGTTTTATAAAGGTGTTAGCATATTTCAGCTAAGAAAATGGTGGAGTCTCCATAGTAACTTCTGTTTTAGGCAAAGATTATATTTAAAATATTTCACATAATGTCCTGAGGAATCAGAAAGCTCACACTGAGCGAAGAGTTCATAGACAGTGATCTGGGCTACAAACAGACCTCAGAAATATTGCAGATTCAGTTCTAGACCACTGCAATAAAGTGAACATTGCAATAAAGAAATCCACACAAATTTTTTGGTTTTCCAGTGCATATAAAAGTTATGCTTACCCGGCCGGGCGCGGTGGCTCATGCCTGTAATCCCAGCACTTCGGGAGGCCAAGGCGGGCAGATCACGAGGCCAGGAGATCAAGACCATCCTGGCTAACACGGTGAAACCCCGTCTCTACTAAAAATACAAAAAAATTAGCTGGGCGTGGTGGCGGGCGCCTGTAGTCCCAGCTACTCGGGAGGCTGAGGCAGGAGAATGGCGTGAACCCGGGAGGTGGAGCTTGCAGTGAGCCAAGATCGCACCACTGCACTCCAGCCTGGGCAACAGAGCGAGACTCCATCTCAAAAAAAAAAAAAAAAAAAAAAAAAAGTTATGCTTACCCTATACTATAGTTTTTAAAGTATGCAATACCATTATATCTAGAACACAAAAGTACATATCTTAATTAAAAATATTTTATTGTTATAAAATGCTATCAATCATCTGAGCTTTCAGTATCATACTCTTTTTGCTGGCAGAGGGTTTTGCTTTTATGTTGATGGTTGCTGACTGATCAGGGTGCTGGTTGCTGAAGGTTGGTGTGGCTGTGGAAACTTAAAATAGCACATTGAAATTTGCCAGGTCAATTAGGTTCTTATTTTCATGAAAGATTTCTTTCTGGTACATGATGCTGTTTGACAGCATTTTACCCACAGTAGAACTTCTTTTAAAATTAGAGTCAGTCCTCTCAAACCCTGCTACTGCTTTATCAAACAAATTTATAGAACATACTAAATTCCTTGTTGTTATTTTAACAATGTTCACAGCATCTTCACTGGGAGTAGAGCTATCCAAAGAAACCACTTTCTTTGCTCATTCATAAGAAGCAACTCTTCATCCATTCAAGGTGAACACTTAGAGACACGAAATGAGCATATGCTGTTGGAAAAATGGTAGGGGTAGATGTGCTCAACAAAGTCTTCCCACAAGAAGCACAATAAAACAAGGTAGGCCTGTAATGCCCTGTAGTATGACCCTGGCTTGCTTTCTTGCATCAATATTGCAATTTTAAAACTAAAACAATTTTAAGAAAGCATTCTAAGAGATAACATCTCAGTTTTCTTCGTGGATCTTACCTTCTTGAGGCAATGGTAGGAGTAACCCTGAGCTATATAGATTCCAAGAGGCAGAGGAACTGATGGAGGGACCCTTAAGGAATCTAGAAACTCCATGGAGAGTATTATTTTGTTGCTAGAAACTGCAGTGTGTTTGTGATTTTCAACCACAAACACATGCTGTCTGGGCTCAGGACCTCAGAGGTAGGTGTAGGAAACTTTAATAATATATTAAACTACTTTGGAGAGCTCCAGAATCCTTCCACTTATTCAGTTTCTGATATGAGTCAAGAATACAACTGAGGCTGGGCACGGTGGGTCACACCTGTAATCCCAGCACTTTGGGAGGCCGAGGCGGCGGATCACGAGGTCAGGAGATCGAGACCATACTGGCTAACACGGTGAAACCCCGTCTCTACTAAAAATACAAAAAATTAGCCGGGCGAGGTGGCGGGCGCCTGTAGTCCTAGCTATTCGGGAGGCTGAGGCAAGGGAATGGCGTGAACCCCAGGGGGCGGAGCCTGCAGTGAGCCGAGATCACGCCACTGCACTCCAGCCTGGGCGACAGCGAGACTCTGTCTCAAAAAAAAAAAAAAAAAAAAAAAAATACAACTGAGCCAGGTTCTGGGGTTTTGAACTTGGAGTAGGGGAGACAAATAACTAAAAAGCACTATTGTTCTCATGGGGTATCCTCTTTAGAGCCTCTTTTTTTCAGCGTCCCCCAATTTATATGGCTACTAATATTGTTTGGTTCTGCGTCCCCACCCAAATCTCATGTTGAATTGTAATCCTCACGTGTCAGTGGAGGGGCCTGGTGGGAGGTGATTGGATCCTGGGGGCAGATTTCCCCCATGTTGTTCTCGTGATAGTGAGTTCTCACGAGATTTGGTGGTTTAAAAGTGTGGCACTTCCCCCTTCACTCGCTTGCACTCTCTCCTGCTCCCACATGTGAAGATGTGCTCACTTCCCCTTCACCTTCTGCCATAATTGTAAGTTTCCTGAGGCCTCCCCAGCCATGCAGACTTTGAGTCAATTAAACATATTTTCTTTATGAATTACCCAGTCTCAGGTAGTTATTCATAGCTGTGTGAGAATGAACTAATACAGCTACTCTTCCATATCCTGTGGTTCCTGCATTAATAATCCTTCTCTCAGAAGAAAAGAACCCAGAACTCCCTATCCCTCACCTCACCCCTTGCATTAGAACACATGGAATGAAGCTGGGGCCTAAGAGTAGGTTAATAGAGAGCACACTGCTGCACCTGCTTCCAATCAACAGGCACGTGAGACTCCTAACTCCTTATAGGTTGTCTCTCTCAGCTCACCAGAATTTCCGGAGCCCAAGAGCTGTGCTCGTTTAGACTGAAGGAGAAAAAGCAGGAATTAGGGTTATGACTAAAATCCCTTTTTATATGAGATATTAAAGGAATGTCATCTTTTCTCTTTTTTCTCTTATTTTACCCCAGATAGTTAACATAAACCTTTCTGCTCTGACAAAGATTTACTACTCTGATAAGTGCATTTTACTTTTAATCTAAAATGTTTCTTAATGAAATAACTGACTAGTGTCAGAATGAAGACACTTTAGGTTTTATTGCTATATCTTGATTTATCTACTTCTAGCTGTGACATTGATTGATGTTTATAAAATCCCTAAGCCTCTACTGGCAACTATGCTCTTTATCTTAGAGCATATAATCAAAGAGGTGTGGGTAAAATTACGTAGGAAGAAAAAATTTCTTGACTTTAAAGAAAAAATTGTGTTAATAATGGCGATTTATATGCAAGGGAAACATTTGAGCAAACAGAATTTTTTTCTCTGATGTTTTAAACCCCAAACTTTGTTTTAATATTTTTTCCTTTTGCTTTCTAGCCTGCCAGTTGGCTACGTGGGTATATCTTAGTATCCATGTTATTGTTAGCACAATCATAGATCACTATTTGATTGACTCTGTTATTCCACATGGCAATAGCTGTGTGATTGTAGCCTTGTATTAAGAATCTAGTCATTTTATATTCTTAGAAGTTCTGAGATAAAGCATTGAAAGGTCGGCTAAGCATCAATCATTTAAAAAGTTGATAGTTGCATTAGTGGTATTCTTAATAGAGTGTTCTTTTGAAGACACACTTGTGATCATATACCACCTAGATATTAAAAGCACAGCTATTGGATAAATGTACTGACAATGAAATTCCAACAGCTATAAAAATATAAGCCCCTTATCAACAGCCAAATAAACTAAATTATGTTCTCGGTTAGGTCATTTGTTTTCCTGTTCATTCATTCCAGAATTTGGAGCCAAGTATCTGAATAACATTGCAACAGAGCCATACAATTATAGTCAGTAATAACATTCTTAAGATAATTAGGTGAAAATCTATTTGTGGTAAGTTGTAACAAAGCATAATTATACTGAATTTTAGGATAGGTAGAATATAAACTTAAAGTTTTCTATTCTCTTTCAAATTGATGTGATAACAAATAGGAGAGGCAACTTGAAGTTCTGGTTTATAGTTAGGACCTGTTTGCCAGTTAAGCCTGGACTTGAGTTATGCCCTGGTTGTAAACTCCCTCCTCTCCAAGCCTCATTTAAAAGTATTGGAGTAACTCTGGGAAGTCCTGTGAAAAACTGGGCAAAGCGATGAACTCTGATCCATACTTACTTCTGATAACCAGGTTACCCCAAGATGGTCAGAATATTCTGCTCTTCAACGAGAAAAATACCTAGTTTCTATCGAATAATAATCACTTGATAACTATTGGTTCTATATTCATTTCCACTTTTCCTTATTCTGAGGACTTATTTCTTTACTTCAATTTAGCTCTGGAAAGAGAAGGAAGAGCCATCTTAAATTACCACTCTTGGCAACTTTTCTGGACAATTAATAACTACATGGTAAATTTCAAATGCCATACATCAAGAATCCTGAAAACTGGAGCTAACCCAAAGTCCTGTAGTTTGGACTCTGGAGGCCACTAAGATAACTGATGGTGTTACTTTTATAAAACTCCCTCTCAAGCAGCCAGTCATGAATCAGGAAGATGGGAATGTCAGGCTACCAGGACGTTCAAGTCTGCCAGATTACCAGATAAGTTGAGCCATAAAGAGGAAAAAAATCCACACATTAGGGGATAGAAAAGATAGTTTATAAGCCAGGAACATGTAAAACCACAGATGATATCGACAACTTCTCAGAGAGTGGTAGCAGAAAACTACATGTTGTTAGAGTCAGGAAATTGTTGGAGATATGAAAAGGAGGCAGAACAGTACAGCATAGAATAAATTTTGCAGGTAGTTATTTGCCTGCATTTTATATTCTTTTTATTTTTTCTGCAGTCTTCTGTACTTCCTATAGGATGCCAATTGTGTATGCTCCCAGATTCTATGGGATATCTCATTTTGCTAGACTGCCAGGATTTGAATCTTGGCATGGCAAATTATTAGTTGTATAACCCCTATTCAAGAGTCTTAAATAGTTTTATATAGAAACTTAAGGTACTTTGTTTCCTTCTCTGTGAAATGGGTAAAATGATAATGTGTCCCTCATAGAGTAATTATAGGTGTTAAGTGAATAATTAATCAGGTAAATAATTTGGAATAGTGCCTGGCTCATCATAAGTTTCCAATAAGTGGTGGCTATCATTAATATTTATTATTGCTGTTAATAGCTCCACTAAAGGATAGGTATTCATTGACACATCATGAATTAATATTAAAAATGTTTACCAGTCCTGTATTATTTACCAAAAATATTGTTTTGCTTACTCTGTAATGATGAAAGTGATCACCATTAAGAAAATTTGGTGATTCATTTAAAAAGTATTTATTGAGTATCTATTAAGAAATACATTATGAAAAATGTGGAAGGAAGATTTTAAAAAATGAATAAATAAGAAACAATGCTCAAAGACATTATTTCTTGCAATTTAAGAGCCAATCATTATTATTTTAAACAAAAGCTACTAGTGAGAAGTGTTCTATAAAATAAATACAGAGAAACTTTCTTTCAGATAGTGTAATATCAGAAAAACAAGTTTCATAACAAGGAGGGTATATTCTCAAAAATGTATAGATTTTTCCGATTTATGTTGTGCAAAATATTTCACAGATTTCAAGATTTGTATTTTGTCAGTTTCTAGGGGTCGCTTAATAATGATGTGGATTCATTAAGGAGAAATCAAAGTCACCCATAGAGGTAAGTTAAAAGTCTTAAAAATAAGTCCTATGAGAAAAGCTAAAAGATTGAGATTATTGAGTTGGAAGAACTGATACTATAGTATGAATTAAAAAGTAAGCAAAGATTCCTTCAACAGAGATGATAGCCAGTCGTTGACTTCACTGAGGATTCAACAAGAAATCAGACCTTGAACAGGGATCTGTACATAAAAAAAGTTCAGTGAGCAAAGTAAGTTCACTGACAGCAGTATGGAGGATTTGGGTCATATCTCTGACAGTGATTTCTTTTAAACACTGAAGAGACTGGAAGTACTTTCAGCTTAGAACTGATAAATTCATCAACAATTAGAATGTTTACAGTTGGCAATAACTAAAAAGCCAGCTTGAACTTGCCCAATTTACTGGCTCTTGTAACAGAAGCAGATCATGCAAAGCCTGATCTAGTGGCTCAATGATGTCACTAAAAGCCTCATTTCTATCTCTGTGATTTACCTTAAAAGATACTGGCTTCATTTTAGGTGGAGACCAATGCTTCTAGGGCTACAGTTTTGTCTAGTTATACTCAGGGTAGAAGGAAACAGGAAAAAGAAGTCTTGATTGGATTAACCCAAGTAACTTGCTCCAAAAATGGAGCTGAGAAGATTCAGTTTCCCTTCTCCAATAGAAAGAAACCTAGAACCCTTAGGAAAGAGTTAGAGTCAATGCCAACAAAATACTAACAAATGCTCCAACCAGGTCCTATTATGCAGAAATGAATTTTAATTTTTGTTCAGTAGTTTTAGTAAAATTGTATGTAATTTAAAAAAGAGAATTAGATAAACCCCTACTCTTGCTGCAAAGGTATATTAATGTACTCTATGATTGAACTCTAAACCTGTGACAAGCTAAAGGGTTTAATGGAAATCTGAAAGATACTATCAGGAGACCTGGGGTCTAGCCCTGTCTCCAGTACTTGCTAATAGTCAAAATTCACCAAGTCATCTATTTTTTCATTCCATTCTAAAATGAATATCAGCTTTTGCCTTTTCTCCTTACCAAATAGTATTTATCAAGTGAGGTAATACATGAGAAATACTTTGTAAACTATATCATTCTATCTAAAATTAAGAAATATTGTTGTTCTAACTAAACATTAGAATTTTGCCATTGTCTAGTCTAAAGATTACCTTGAAATGTATTTTTTAAGAGCTTGCTGCACTAATAATATAGCTTGTCAAGGTTTTATTTCCTATGAGTTGTTGGAGACATTCACTTCCATAAATGAACTCCACATGTAGTTACTAAATGTATTGTGCTACTGTTAGTTTTTTAAATAAATTTATAATTATTAATAAAAACCACACTGGCCGGGCGCGGTGGCTCACGCTTGTAATCCCAGCACTTTGGGAGGCCGAGGCGGGCGGATCACGAGGTCAGCATCAAGACCATCCTGGCTAACACGGTGAAGCCCTATCTGTACTAAAAATACAAAAAATTAGCCGGGCATGGTGGCGGGTGCCCGTGGTCCCAGCTACTCGGGAAGCTGAGGCAGGAGAATGGCGCGAACCCAGGAGGCGGGGCTAGCAGCTGGCCGAGATCGTGCCACTGCACTCCAGCCTGAGCAACAGAGCAAGACTCCGTCTCAAAAAAATGAAAATAAAAATAAATAAATAAAAAATAAAAACCACACTGTATATTTCCTCTTTAGAAGGGATTTTAGTGCCTATTCTTGCATCTTGTTACTTTCGTTCTTTGTGTTAGGTTTAAAATATAGCACAATGGGAAAGGTTAGAGGTAGGACTCTTCTTCAATAAAGGTTTTTCCATAATTCAGAGCTTAAGAAATGAACCAGTGTCATTGTCTAACTGAAGTTCAATACCAAATAATTCACAGAAAGGTAATGAGCCATTTTAGACTGCTATTTGAATACAATCTAGTTATATAAAGCCATATAATTTGTATTACAATATATTTCCATCATTTCAAATTTTAGTTTGAAAAATTTGCTTTTTAAAATCATTTTAGGCATTATAATTTATAAAGTATTAATTTAAAGGATTATTCTTAGAACTGTTACTGGATTATTCTTAGAACTGTTACTGGCAGTTGTTAAAAATGGACCAAGCCTAGATTTCTATTTGTCTCTGCTTACCTATGCCCCATTACCTCAATATCTTATCCCCCCAATTCAGGTGATGTTAAAAATATGTCCTTTATATTATGCAATTATGCTTTAAAAAGTTAGAAATTATTATGTTTCTATTTGACATTCACCACTCTGTATTAGCTCATTTCAAAAAGACAAATGCTAGAATTCATTCCTTCTTTATGCCTTAACCTTTATTTTTAAATGTGCAAGATATTGTACTAAATGAGTGTAGATATTAAATTTTATAAGAATCATTCCTACCTTTCTGGCTTTCAAATCAGCATAGATATAAGACACAATTATTTTCAAGATATGTGATAAGAGTGGTAGCAAGCACAGGGGAAGTGAGGACAAACTCTGAGGAAGCAGGCATTGTTTCCATTTTTAACACATGAGAAAGAGCTCTTGCAGACAGTAGATGTTTATCTGGGCAGATTCATATGTGGCAATCTGAGTGGAAAGTGTATTCTCAACTGAGAGGAGGTTATGAGCACCTTCAGAGGCAGGAAGATATGTTGAATGTCGGTGTGGACTCACCAACTGGTCACCAGCTGGTTTAATTTGGCCTTCAGGGATATTTTGTTTGTTCTCAATCATAATTAAAATTCTTTAGAATTATTGCCAACATTAAAAAGCAGGAAAGTTCTCTGTTTCCAGTTTCTTATGAAAACGTGAAGATTTATCTACATTCCATATTCTGACATTCTTACAGCCTCACACAACAATTATTTAGAGCTGAGAAGCTGCTGCTTCACTCAAAGGGAGAAATCACCTTTCTTCTCTAAAACAAAGGGTTTCTTCTTTCATTTAGGTTACTTGATTCAGTTCTGTAATTGACTTAGTTGTCCCTAGCCAGGATTACAAGGTTAATTCTGTGTGATGGAGTCTGATGTCTTTGTTTTAGAAAGTATTTGAACTTGTAAAATATATTGAAAATAATATATGTTCCATGAAGAAAAATATCTTGAATTCATTGCTATATGGAGATTAAAGATGAAGTTTTCTTTAGATTTAATTGAATTTGTATTTTAATTTATATTGTGTTCATTAACACTAATAATCAAAATGGAACCTTGTTTTTTTAAGCTCCATTGTTAAACATAATTTAATTAGTCAGAAAACATTTTTAGGATGTCAACAATTTTAGATTTGAGATAATATTTAACCAGTTTGGTACATTTCATACTCTTGATTGGTTGACCAAATATGTGTTTAATGTGAAGATATTGGGTAAGCTATGCTTTTATAATCCAAAATTTGAATGTTATAAAAGGAAAATGGGGAGTTTCACATATCTTCAAATATTTTCACGCCAAAACAAAACGAAATGAAACAAAAATACCACTATTTTTCTCTTATTTCTCAGCATCAGGAGACCAGAAAGAAATTTAGACACAATTAATCTCTTTCAGGATTAAAAAAAAAATAGAAAAGAAAACAAACTGTGGGGAGTTGGCCTGCATTTGATCGATTTTGTCTTGTGGATAGACTCTGACGAGATTATCTTGCCTGCTGTTTCTTTAAATGTGCAACAGTGAAGGATCATGAAGAGCAGCATGGGCTAAATCTAATGGATTGGTAACCAAATGTTAACTCCACAGACATGATTAATAAATATTTAACGGGTAAAAATAAGTGAATGTAATAATACATTGAAGCCAATAAGTTCTACTGCTGGCTTAGAGATTATCAAGACAGAGTTTAAGTAAAAATGTTCTACTCAGTATTCTTTCCTTTTTTTCTCCTTCCTTTCTTCCTTTCCTTTCTTTTAAATATTTGTAGAAAATTAAGTTTCTCTGTAATTCTCATAGTTAATGTAGGGCAGTGTTTGTTTTGTTTGTTTTTGTTTTTGTTTTGAGACGGAGTCTCGCTCCATCGCCCAGGCCGGAGTGCAGTGGCGCCATCTCAGCTCACTGCGACCTCCACCTCCCGGGTTCAAGCGATTCTCCTGCCTCAGCTTCCTGAGTAGCTGGGATTACAGGTGCCCACCACCACGTCCGGCTAATTTTTGTATTTTTTTTTTTTTTTTTTTTTTGAGACGGAGTTTCACTCTTGTTGCCCAGACTGGAGTGCAATGGCGCGATCTCAGCTCACAGCAACCTCCGCCTCCCAGGTTCAAGCCATTCTCCTGCCTCAGCCTCCGGAGTAGCTGGGATTACAGGCATGCACCACCATGCCCGGCTAATTTTGTATTTTTAGTAGAGACGGGTTTCTCCATGTTGGTCAGGCTGGTGTCGAACTCTGGACCTCAGGTGATCCGCCCGCCTTGGCCTCCCAAAGTGCTGGGATTACAGGCGTGAGCCACCGCGCCTGGCCTGTATTTTTAATACGGAAAGAATTTCACCATGTTGGCCAGGCTTGTCTCGAACTCCTGACCCCAAGGGATCTGCCCACCTTGGCCTCCTAAAGTGTTGCAATTACAGGCGTGAGCCACCGCACCGGGCCAGGGCAGTGTTTTACATACTACTCTTACAAAACCAAATTTGCTTTAATTAGAAACTAAACCTTTCATCTTACAATATGTAAGTTAAGTTCTTCTAAAGTTCAAATGTGTATTTAGATCTTGATTTTCACATGTATTTGATGTGTAATCTCAGGAACAACTACTTAGAATAAATTTCAAATTAGTAATATATAATAATCAACTCTGCAATTAGTAATTTGTTTAGCTATTTATAACTCATAATGTACTGTAACTCACAATATTAGCTGTTCTTTTCAATGCTTAACCAGAAAAAGTAGTTATTTATTCTAAATAAATAAGCCCCTTTTTTAGTATAAAATTCAATGCCATGCAGATGTCACTGCCTACTCTTAAGTTGTTCCACGATTCTCATAAATTATGTATTTAATTTGCCCACCAGGTCATTGTTGAGATGTTCTCTGTAATTAGTGAAGATATTTAATATCCTTAGATTTTTTCAATGTTGAAAAAGCTATTATTTAGTATTTTCTGTGTGTCAGATATTTTTCTAATCATTTTACATGAATTACTTTTAAAATAATCTCTAAAACTTTATGATTAATTTACCTTTACTAACTATGTACATGGGGAAAAAGAAACATGGAGAATTTAACTTGTTTGATAGGGACAAACAGTAAGTAGTGGAACAGGATTTAATTCCAGGTGATCTTCACCTCTAAATTCTGCTAGTGCAGACTAGAATGATCTCCTCAATCGTATGCTAGTGTAGATGAGGTTGACATGCTTTTTCTTTCTCAGAAGTACTAAAAATCCAAATGTTATGCTGAGCTAACTCTGCAAAGCAATTTTTAATATTCTCTGTCCTTAACAGTGGTGTGTGAAGGACTCATAATACACGTCTTTTCTGATGTGCCCTCTGCTACGGGTTAGCAGGAAATGTTAGATTATTCTAGAAATAGGTCACAGTTGAAAGCAATAAAGAAACATTCTTTAGTTCTAAATTATGCCTATTGCCATAACTGAGGCGCAAGAGAGGACAAGACACTTGACCACAGCCAGATAAGTAATAAGTGGTGGACCACTGGCATGTTTCCCGTAATTTTGAGAAGACTCTGGGAGGTTTATAACAGCCCAGTAAGGGAATCCAAGAGACCTCCAACATCAGACTTTCTAACATCTGAGATGGTATAAAGGATGCTCAGCAGCCTGCCTGAAGAATTTTGAATATACTGCATGATAGAGGCAACACTTTGAAATGGCCAGTGACAGGATCAATCAGGACACCTGTACTTTCAGCAGGCAGAGGGGTCACCCTGAGCCAGCCACATAACTACGCATTTTTATAGACAGATCCTCACATATTAGTTGACTCTCCTTCCTTTCAACACTGTTCCCAAAATGGCACAAGTGAATTCTGAATGAGGAAAGGACTATAGTATTTGAAATAATAGTGAGTGAGAAATTTTCACAATTAATGGCACATACCAAACCAGATTTAGCAAGCTCAGAAAACCCAAGGAGAATAAATACTTCAAACCAACAAACTAAAAAACAACAAAAATTCAACTAAGGATTTTTTTTTTTTTTTAGAGTCTTGCTCTGTCAACCAAGATGGAGTGCGGTGGCATGATCACGGCTCACTGCAGCCTAGACCTCCTGGGTCTCAGGTGATCCTCCCACATCAGCCTCCTGAGCAGCTGTGCACCACCAGACCTGGCTAATTTTGTTTTGTTTTGTTTTTTGTTTTTTGTTTGTTTGTTTGTTTGTTTTTTGGTAGAGATGGGTTTTTTCCATGTTTCCCAAGTCTTAATCTCCTGGGCTCAAGCAATCTGCCTGCCTTGGTCTCCCAAACTGCTGGGATTGTGAGTGTGACCCATCACACCTAGCAAAAAAAAAAAAAAATCATATTTACACTGTAAAAGACAAAGTCTTGAAAAGAAAATTATATCCAGTGAAAGTATCCTCCAAAACCAAAGAAGAAATACTTTCTTATACAAGCAAAACCTGTGGAAATGCATCACTTGCAGATGCTGCCTGAAAGAAACGCTAAAAGTTCTTCAGGCAGAAGGAAAATGATACTGGTCAGAAACTTGGAACTACATATAGAAAGAGAGAGTATCACAAAAGAAATAAAGGTAAAATAAAATTGTGTATTTTTCTTATTTTTTATTGCTCTAAAAGATAGCTGTTTGAAGCTGTAATAGTAGCAACATATAGCTAATTACAGTGTATGGATAAACATGACATAAGTATGGATAAGACAGACAGCAATGTCACCAGGTCGAGAGAGAGGACTGAGAATACTGTTATGAGATTCCCACACTACACAAGACATGGTATAGTATTCTTTGAAGGTGAGTTCAAATTATTTTAAAGTGTGCTGTAAAGCTTAGGGAAACTACTAAAAATATTTTTAAAGGATTATAAATGATACAGCAAGAAGGAAGATAAAATTGAATCATATAGAATGTTCAATTAAAACTAGAGAAAGCATAAAATGTGAGGGGGAAAAAAAGAAAAAGTAGTTGTAGGTATCATTTTACATTCCCACCAATCTGTTATGAGAGGTCCAGTGGCACCACATCCTTGCCAATACTAGGAATGATCAGTCTTTTGAAATTGAGATACTGTATTAGGTGAGTGGCTCATTGAGCTTTTATTTTTTCTTTGATGTCTAGTGATATTTTAGGATTATTTCATGTGCTTGTTTACCATTTATATTTCTTTTGTGAAATGTATGTTTAGAGCTTCTCTCTTCATTAAAAGTTATTTCCTTATCGTTGAGTTTTGGAAGTTCCTTATATATTTGTAGATATAAGGCCTTTATTAGATCTGGATTTGCAAATATTTTCTCTAAATCTGTGGCTTATATTTCCAATCCATTAATAACATTTTTGGAAAAACAGAAGCTCTTAATTTTGTTGAATTTACCAATGTTTTCTTCTTTTATGCATTATGTTTTTGGTGTTGTGACAAAGACATTTTTGCTAAAACCAAGATTACATTTTGTTCTATCAGTCCATTTTATGGACTTTCAATTCTATTCCACTTTTCTATCTTGACACCAAAACCACCATGCCTTCATTACTCTACCTTGAAAATATATCTCTACATCAGCCATTTAAGTTCTCCATTTTTTTCCCAAAGTTATCTTGGTCCTTCTAAGGTTTTTTTTGTGTTTTGAATTTTCATTTGAATTTTTTTAACTTTTATTTTAAGTTCAGGGATACATGAATAGGTTTGTTATATAGGTAAGTTGCATGTTATGGGATTTGGTGTACAGATTTCATCACCCAAGTAATAACCATAGTAGCCAATGGTAGTTTTTTGATCCTCACCCTCCTCCTACTCTCCAACCTCAAGTAGGCCCTGGTGACTGTTCCCTTTTTTGTGTCCATATGTACTCAATATTTAGCTTCCATTTATAAGTAAGAACATACAGTATTTGGTTTTCTCTTCTTGTGTTATTTCACTTAGGATAATAGCCTCCAGCTCCATTCATGTTGCTTCAAAGGACATGATCTTACGCTCTTTTATGGCTGCACAGTATTCCATGGTGTATATGTACCATGTTCTCTTTATCCAGTCCACCATTGATAGGCTTTTAGGTTGATTCCATGTCTTTGCTATTGTGACTAGTGCTGCAATGAGCACATATGTGTGTATATCTTTAAGACAGAAAAATTTATATTCCCTCGGGTATACACTCAATAATGGGATTGCTGGGTCAATTGGTAATTCTTTTTTAAATTCTTTGAGAAATCATCAAACTGCCTTCCACAATGGCTGAACTAATTTACACTCCCACCAGCAGTGCATAAACATTCCTTTTTCTCCACAGTCTCACTAGCATCTTTTATTTTTTGACTTTTTAATAATAGCTATTCTGACTAGTGTGAGGTAGTATCTCACTGTGGTTTTGATTTGCATTTCTCTATTTATGAGTGATGTCGAGCATTTTTTCACATGCTCATTGGCCACATGAATGGCTTCTTTTGAAAAGTGTCTGTTCATGTCCATTGCCCACTTTTTAATGGGGTTATTTGTTGTTTGCTTTTAAATTTGTTTAAGTTCTTTACAGATTTTGGATATTAGACCTTTGTCAGATGCATAGCTTAAACATATTTTCTCCCATTCTGTAGGTTGTCTGTTTACTCTGATGATAGTTTCTTTTGCTGTGCAGAAGCTCTATCGTTTAATTAGGTCCCAGTAGTTATTTTTTGTTTTTGTTGCAATTGCTTTTGGCATCTTTGTCATGCAGTCTTTGTCAGGTCCTATGTCCAGAATGGTATTTCCTAGGTTGTCTTCCAGGGATAAAAACCCTATAAAAAAGTTTTTGGTTTTATATTTAAGTCTTTAGTGCACTTGAGTTAATTTTTGCACATGGCACAAGGAAGGAGTCCTCATCAGTTTTCTGCCTATGGCTAGCAAATTATCCCAGCACCATTTATTGAATAGGGAGTTCTTTCCCCATTGCTTGCTTTGTCAATTTTGTTGAAGATCAGATGGTTGTAGATATGTGGCACTATTTTAGTGTTCTCTATTCTTTTTCATTGGTTTATGTGTCTGTTTTCACATCAGTGCCATCATGTGTTGGTTACTGCAGTCTTGTAGTATAGTTCGAAGTAGGGTAATGCCTCCAGCTTTGTTCTTTCTGTTTAGGATTGCCTTGGCTATTTGGGCTCTTGTTTGGTTTCATATGAATTTTAAATTAAATTTAAATTTTAAAATAGTTATTTTTTTCTAATTCTGTGAAGAATGTCATTGGTAGTTTGACAGAAATAGCATGTAATCCGTAGATTGCTTTGGGCAGTGTGGCCATTTTGACAATATTGATTCTTCCTATCCATGAGCATGGAATGTTTTTCTATTTCTTGATGTCGCTGATTCCTTTGAGCAGTGTTTTATAATTCTCATTGTAGAGATCTTTCACCTCCTTGGTTTGCTGTATTGCTAGGTATTTTATTCTAATTATGGCTATTGTGAATGGGATTATGTTCTTGATTTGACTCTCAGCTTGAATGTTGCTGGTGTATAGGAATGCTACCAATTTTTGAACATTGATTTTGTATCCTGAAACTTTGCTTAAGTTGTGTATTAGATGAAAGAGCTTTTGGATAGAGATGGTGGGGTTTCCTAGGTATAAATTATATCATCTCTGAAGAGAGAGAGAGTGATTTTCTCTCTTTCTATTTGGATGCCTTTTATATCTTTCTCTTGCCTGGTTGCTCTAGCTAGTACTTCCAGTACTATGTTGAATAGGAGTGATGAGAGTGAGGATCCTTGTCTTATGCTGATTTTCAAGGGGAATGTTTCCAGCTTTTGCCCATTCAGTATGATGTTGGCTGTGGATTTTTCATAGATGGCTCTTATTATTATGGAGCATGTTTCTTCAGTGCCTAGTTTGTTGAGGGTTTTTAACGTGAAAACCTTTTCTGCACCTATTAAGAAGATCATGTGGTTTTTATTTTTAGTTCTGTTTATGTGGTGAATAATATTTATTGATTTCCATATGTTGAAACAACCTTGCATCTCAGGATAAAGCCTACTTGATCATGGTTGATTAGCTTTTTGATATGCTGCTAGATTCAGTTTGCTAGTGTTTTGTTGAGTATTTTTGCATCTATGTTCATTAAGGATATTGGCCTGAAGCTTATTTTTTTGTGTGTGTCTCTGTCAGGTTTTGGAATCAGGATGATGCTGGCTTCATAGTATGAGTTATGAAGCAGTCTCTCTTACTCCATTTTTGGAGTTGTTTCAGGAGGAATGATACCAGCTCTTCCTTATAAGAAATTAGAATTTGGCCGTAAATCCACATGGTACTGAGCTTTTTCTGATTGGTAGGCTTTTTATTACTGATTCAATTTCAAAATTTATTATTGGTGTGTTTAGGAATTCAGTCTCTTCCTGGTTTAATTTCTGAAGACTGCATTAATATGTTTCCAGAAATTTATCCATTTCTTCTTGGTTTTCTAGATTTTGTGCATAGAGATGTTTGTAATAGTCTTCGAGGGTTTTTTGCATTTCTGTGGGGTGAATGGTAATGTCGCCTTTGTTATTCCTGATTGTGTTTATTTGGATCTTCTCTTTATTTATTAGTCTAGCTAGTGACATGTGTTGCTTATTAATTCTTTCAAGGAACTAGCTCTTGGATTTGTTGATCTTTTGTACGTTTTTTTGCATCTTCATTTCCTTCAGTTCAGCTCTGATTTTGGTTATTTCTTGTCTTCTGCTAGCTTTGGGATTAGTTTGCTCTTAATTCTCTAGTTCTTCCGGTTATGATGTTAAGTTGTTAATTTGAGATCTTTCTAACTTTTTGATGTGGGAGTTTAACACTGTTTTGGCTGTGTCCCAGAGATGCTGCACTTAACACTGCTTTGGCATGTTCTAGAGATTCTGGTATGTTGTATCTTTTTTCTTATTAGTTTCAGAGAATTTTTTGGTTTCTGCCTTAATTTCACTATTTACTCAGAAGTCATTCAGGATCAAGGTTGTTTAATTTTTATTTAATTGTATGGTTTTGAGCAATTTCCTTAACATTGATTCCTATTTTTATTGCACTGTTGTCTGAGAATGTGGTTGGTATGATTTCAGGTTTTTTTGAATTTGCTGAGAGTTATTTAATGCTCAATTGTGTGGTCGATTTTAGAGTATGTGCCATATGCAGATGACAAGAACGTAAATTCTGTTGTTTTTAAGTGGAGAGTTCTGTAGATGTCTATTAGGTCCTTTTCATCAAGTGTTGGGTTAAGGTCCCGAATATCTTTGTTAGTTTTCTGCCTTGATGAGCTGTCTAATACTGTCAATGGGGTGTTAAAGTCTCCCACTATCATCGTGTGGTTATCTAAATCTCTTCACACATCTCTAAGAACTTGCTTGATAAATCTGGGTGCTCCAGTGTTGAATGCATTTATATTTAGGATAGTTAGGTCTTCTTGTTGAATTTAGTCCTTTCCCATTGATGTGGTTTGTCCGTGCTGTGTCTCCGCCCAAATTGCATCTTGAATTGTAGTTCCCATAATCCTCATGTGTCATGGGCGGGACCTGGTGGGAGGTAATGAGATCATGGGGGTGATGGTTTTATAAAGGGCTTTTCCCTCTGCTCAGCTCTCATTCTCTCTCTTGCTGCCCTGTGAAGAGGTGCCTTCTGTCATGATTGTAAGTTTCCTGAGGCCTCCCCAGCCATGCAGAACTGTGAGTCAATTAAACCTCTTTTCTTTATAAATTACCCAGTTCCAGGTATTTCTTCATAGCAGCATGAGAACGGTCTAATACAACCATTATATAATGCCCCTTTTTGTCTTTTCTGATCTTTGTTGAGGTCTGTTTTTTCTGAAATTAGAATAGCAATCCTTGCTTTTCCCTGTTGTCTATTTGCTTGGTAGATTTTTCTCCATCCCATTACTTTGAGCCAATGGTTGTCACTGCATGTAAGATGGGTCTCTTAAAAAGAGCATACTGATGGGTTTCACTACAGCCTTGAAGAATATAATGACTGTGTCTCAGGGATGGTCTTCTTGTGTAGTATTTTGCAGGGATTCTCTGCATTTCTTGAATTTGAATGTTGGACTTTCCAGCAAGGTTGGGAAAATTTTCATGGATGATATCTTGAAATATGTTTTCCAAGTTGCTTGGTTTCCTTCCCTCTCTCTCAGGCATGCCAGTGAGTTGTACATAGGTCTCTCTAGATAATCTCATATTTCTCAGAGGTTTTGTTTATTCCTCTTTATTGTTTTTTCTTATTTTTCTCTTACTGAGTTATTTCAGAGAGCCAGTCTTCAAGATCTGCAAATCTTTCCTCAGCTTGATTAGCATTAGTTCTAATGCTAATACTTGTGATTGCATTATTAAATTTATATAGTGCTTTTTAGCTCTCTCAGATTGATTGGGTTCTTTCTTACAATAGCCAGTTTGTCTGTCAGCTCCTGTATCATTTTATTTTATGTCTTAGATTCCTGGGATTGGATTTTGACTTACTCCTGTATGTTGATAATCTTTCTTCTTATCCATATTCTGAATTCTATTTCTGTCATTCCAACCATCTCAGCTTGGTTAAGAACTATTTCTGGGGAACTAGTATGGTCATTTGGAGGTAAGCCGACACTCTAGCTTTTCAAGATGCCAGAGTTCTTGCCCTAGCTCTTTCTCATCTTCGTGAGCTGATGTTCCTTCAATCTTTGAGGTTGTTGAGCTTTGGATGGCTTTTTTTTTGTAAATCCTATTTGATGTCCTTGAAGGTTTGATTGTGGTGTAAGGTGAGTTCAGTTGACTCGCTTTATTTCTGGAGGAATTTAGTGGGGAAAGGATCAGTTCAGGACTCCTGGACTGCATGCTCTAACTCTGGGTGGTGGGTATTGGGTCCTAGCTTGGTTCTATCACCCCAGAGCCTAGAAACCTGCTGTGCTGAAGGGGCCAAGGTTCCCTGACCACTGGTCACAACATTCCAATGGGTAGTGCTAACCAAAGCACTTTACGGTGAGGTTGGCAACAGGATCCATTCTCATTTTCACCTGCCAACAGTAGTGGTAGTGCTCAGTGGCAGTGCAGTGGGGTGCTGGTAGGTGCAAGAGTGCTGACCTCTGTGCAGGTGCTCACAGCAGCCACAGGTGTCAGCATGGTGCAGGGGTTCAGGGGGCCCCAGCAGTATCTGTGTGCATGTTCACAGTTGCAGTGGTGTTAGCATGGAGGCAAGGCATTGATGGACATGGGACTGTGTGTGCCATCTGTGAATGTGTTTATGTGATTGGCAGATGCCACTCAGGGTGGGAGTGGGTCCAGTGCTCCCCCATGTAGTTTTGTACTGGCAGCAGTGTTGGCACTGGGCAAAGTGCTGGCAGGCATGGGACTGGCAGTCTCTATGCCTGCAAACACTCTGATGGGAATGGTGGCTTAGTGGGGAGCTGGGAGAGTAGGGTGCCCTCATGCCAGCAACAGTGGCATGGCGAGGTGCACATGCACACATGAGCTGGCAGGTAAGGGGAAGAAAGGTTCACCCATGCACACATGTGCCGGCAAAGCAATGTAGGGGGTGGCTGCCGGCGAGTACATGTAGGCAAAGAGCATGGTGGAGATTCTGGTGTGGGAGGGCACTGGCTGGTGTGCATGTCTGGTGGCTGCTCGGCTGGAGCTCTCTAGTGGTCAAGTAAGGACTGCCAGTGCAGGAGCTATGATGTGGGCCCCCAGGAAGCACCCCATCTGGGCATTCGAGGCTGCACTGCAGGACAAGGGCCCTGGGAGAGATGAGCAGACTAAAGGGTGCTCATGTTGGACTGCACCTGTCTCATCAGCAGGACTGCCTTGCACTGTTCAGGTCATACAGTTTGACTATGGCTATAGTCTATTAGAGAACGAAAGTAGGCCTTGGAAGATATGCTTCTCTGGCTGTGCTCCACTACAGACCCTCTGGCACCAAATCCTCTGGGCTCTGTACAGGCTGGAGTTTTGACTCTGAAACTTCTCAAGGCAGCTCTTCCTGCCAGCTCAAGCATCCAGGGGGGTTGTAGGGTCTCCTGCTGCCAGAATTCCAGAGGCCTGTGGCCAGAGCAGGTGGCTCTTTGCCTACTCACCCCTTCTCCAGGAGTCCTTGGGGGCTAGGAAGGAGTCCCAGAGTGTAGTAGCCCCATGCAAGGTTCCCAGCATCCTCCCCCTTCAGCCCAGCATTTGTGTCTTCCCTTCATCCACTCTCAATGCCTTTCCTCTGAAGATCTGCTAGGAGTGCACCAGTCTGCCCAATGTCCTGGTCCCTTGGTGGCAGATGTTACTCCCAACTGCACCTAGTCAGCCATCTTACCCCGTTCTCTCCCATTTGAATTTTAGAAGCAGAATCTTAATTTATTTTTAAAAATCTACTGAGATTTTTATTGTGATTACACTGAATGTATCAATCAATTTTGGAAGAATTAATTTCTTAATATTGAGTATTTTGATTCATGAACATAGTAGATTTTTGTAAGGATTATCAGTTTATATATGATTTATATAGACTTCTACGCGTCTAATCAGAGGGGTTTTATATGTCTAGTTTTCTAATTTTTTAATGTGAAGTCATAGGACTTTGATTTAATTTTTTGGGCTTATTTTCTATGAGGAAATATCATAACTTTTAGGAATTCATACCAGATATTCAATATTTATGCAAAATACTAAATATCAAAATTATTGAGTGCTTTTTTTGGTCTGGCTTCTAGTCATATTGTTTGATATTGACTTTTAATTTTGTGTTGTTTGCCTCCTCACTTGGTTTAGTAAAATAAGCACAGACTTGAGTGAAAAGAGGTAATTTAGAATCTTGGGTCATCTACTTATTACTCTATGTAGGCTAACTTTCCTAGCACCAAAATAAAGGTATAGACATATTCCCCTAGAAAAGTTAAAAGCACTAAATTAGATATAACTGAGACTGCATCCCCGAAGCTCTAGCATGTAAGAGACACTCCATAGACATGTTTCTGTGCATTTGTATTTTAGCTTTATTCTCTTTTTAAACATTTGATAACTTTTTTCCTGATAGTGAAAATCTACTAAAATCATGATTTAAATATAGTAATCATCCTTCTTTCTTCACACCTCTCAAATTTAACTGTTATATTGAGTACCGATTCTTTTAAGTTTAAAATTATTTTTAAATATGAAGCAAAATTTATCACAGGATTAATCCCTGGAAAACTTTTCTTTAAATTAGTCATAACTACTTGTCATAACAATTGTATGACTAAGAGCACAAAAGTAATTGTGTTTGATCAATATTTTTTCCATTACTGAATTCAAGTCATCAATGCCTTAAAATATATACTTGTATGATACACAGAATCACTGGGCAAGAGAGAGAAAGGGCACTACTACGTAACAGGCATGAAAAGCCCAAGTGCTGATAACTCATAAAAACTTTCCTTTTTCTCAGTTAGTCATCATGTAAGTGTAGCTTTCTTTATAAAAAAAAATTTGATCGTGTTATTAGAATAAAGTTGGCAACTTGCTGATATAACATGGACTGCACTGGCGTTTATATTCTGCATAGTCATTTCTAGAAAAGTGATTAAAACAGTGATTGAATTAAAATTTTATTTCAGCTGGCTTTATTGCAATAAAAAGTCACTATATTTCCTCTTATTACTTTTTTACCTAACTCATTTTTAGATGAATATACAGGAATTTGTATTAAAACAAGACCGTACTATTGAAATAGTAAGAAAATAAAGTGAAAAACTTGGAGAATGACAACCAATTCTGAAATAAAATACTGTAGGTATTATGATGAAAAATTTGCCCTGAAGTTATTTTGCTAAGGCACAAATAAACTACGATGAGAAAATATCAAGTTCTTGAAACTTTGTTTGCTTGACTGAGAATTAAATCTCTATATTTGTTCCAGGGTAAAAATTAAGTCTCTGGACTCTGTCTATATTAAAATATGGATTGACATTAATTATTTAATAATTCAAAGTTTCAGAAATGCTAAACATATTGTACAGTCTCATTTCTAACATCAAACTAGGACATACCGACAGTGGTTTGTTCTTATAGTCGTGTTTCCAATAGTACTCCTTTTCTTTTTTAAATAATAAGACAAAGGAAACTTATTTCCTTGTATAATTGGTAAATTTGATTTTTTTTTTTGTCTTTATAAACAACCTGCGTGTTGCTTATGTTATCATCCATGACAGTAGTGGGTCAGAAAACAATTTTTTAAAGTCTTGTCTTGAAATTGGCTTTTCTTCTGAGGTAACAGTGGTTTGAATTACAGCATAATTTTTCCATAGCTATTTTATTTCAGTACTGTTTGCAGAAAAAAATACTTTTGAGTGGGAAAAAGAAAATGACCATAGATTTGATTGGGAAATAATACCTAAGAAGGCTAAGAGAAACCAGAAAAAAAATCATTGTGTTCCAAGGATTAGAAAATGTTCAAAGAATATAAGACAAAATAAGTATAATACTGTCCATAACTCTTAACTGATCAATGTGACAGTTGGTCCGTATATCTTCCATATCTGTAAGCCCAGAGACAACATGTACTCAGTGAAAGCTACGTATCAATGGTCACGTTTGGAAATTTTCAGCTTTTCTTAATAAATTAAAACCTAAGGCCTCATAGGCTGACACTAAAAGTGTAATCTTCTTGTACAGAGATGGTGAATGATGCAACTCCTCTGTTCTCAAATTGTCCTTTTGGAATTTCTTATTGCCAGCACCACTGTCAAGTTTATCTCAGTGTAGTTCTCCCCTTAAACAATCAGGCTTGGCCCTTTCCATCTCAATATAATTTACAAAAGTAAAGTATCAGTCAGAGCTGAAACATTTTCATTCACACAACTTCAACCGCAGGAATGGGGTAATATGACTGCACCTGGTACCTTAAGTACACATGTTATCTGAAGCAATGCCTATGGAGAGCATGAAAACACGTGGGTGTTCTTTTAAAAATACGAAATACTGGCCGAGCACCGTGGCTCACGCCTGTAATCCCAACACTTTGGGAGGCCGAGGTGGGCGGATCACCTGAGGTCAGGAGTTCTAGACCAGCCTGGCCAACATGGTGAAACCCATCTCTACTAAAAATATAAAAATTAGTGGGGCGTGGTGGTGGGCACCTGTAATCCCAGCTACTCAGGAGGCTGAGGCAGGAGAATTGCTTGAACCTGGGAGACGGAGCTTGTAGTGAGCAGAGATTGTGCCACTGCACTCCAGCGTGGGAGACAGGGTGAGACAAACAACAACAACAACAACGAAACTTAAATGTACAAGAAATAATTTTTAAATTTTAAAGGTGAGAATTTTTGACTAGATATAGGGCTGGGTTCTTAATTTACTAGTACGTAAATAATATTCTAAGTTATTTCAGTTGCATAAAATTGGTTATTGGCTCTATTTTAAGAGAGCTAACAAAATCTCTCTAGTTCAACTATGCTATATAATTATATTAATACAGTATGATAGAATGAAATATTTTTATAAAGAGTTTTATAGAGAAGTAGTGAAACTTTAGGTGTACATAATCTCTCTTCAAGATGCATTTATTTCCATTTATAGGAAAATAATGAATGCATTATTTTCTGCATTTTATTTTTTTGGAAAAAAGTATGGAATTAGGCCAATACACATGAGACCATGTCTTCTTTGGGAATTTTGAGATTACAGTTAGTGTTGCCAGATAAAATGCAGAGTTTCCAGTGCAATTTGAATTTCAGATAAATGATGAATATTTTTGTGAGTATAAATATGTTCCAAATATTGCGTGGGATATATTTATACAAAACAATTGCTCATTGTTTTTCGCAGATTCAAATTTAGCTGGGATTCCTGTGTTATTTGCTAAATATGCCAATTCTAGTTTTAATGCAATTCTAAGTGACTTGAATGATGAGCCATTTATGTATTGGTTTCTGTGTGGGACGAGTTGTGACAATTCAAACTTCTCAGAGCCTGCAAGTTTTCACTATTTGGTACTCTCCTTCTGTCAAACTGCATACTTCACAGGGTGTATCCCAGGTAGTGTGGTTCTGAAAAGTCAGGCCAGCACCTAGCCCTTGTTAGGTAACCATGATTTCTCATTAAGACACATGGGCATGTGCAGTATCCTGTACAACATGGAAGAGTGGGAATCTTTTGCACTGGGAAGCTCCGAGACTTCCTGATTTGGGTTGGAGTAAAAGAGTATTGTCAGGAAGTGCTGAAGAGGTTCCTTTCCCCTTTTGCCTGAGTTGTTTATCAGTGTCTGGTTGGTAAATATAAATATGTGAAAGTAGTTGTGCAAATCTTCTGGAGTTAAAAGAAAGTGAATGGGGAAAAATGGACATTTTCTGAATTACACCTTTATTCTTCTATGAAAAGACACTAAAAGCAGCAAGAAATAAAGAGCACTTAGTTTCAGGCACTACTGATTATCTCCTTGATTTCTTTAGAAAGCTGTTACTGATTTATGTCAACAAGGGAAGCAAACACTTCATTTTATTTAATCAAAGGCTTTCCTTGCATTCATTCTCCTAGTCACTTAATATTTTACTTGGAACTTATAATATATAAATTCTTTACCTTATTACTTTTCCCATTATAGGTCCAACCCTGATGTTAATTTCTAAAAGAAAAAAATTGTTTAAGTTTTATTACTCATTCTGACTTTGAACACTTTTCCAGAAATGCAATTAAATTGGTGAATGTTTGCAATGTTTGGTTAACCAAAATGGGAGTCTCTAAGATTTTTGGATTTGAGTTGGTTTTAAAATTGTTTTCACAGAAATGATTACTTATTAATTTATCCCTCTGTGTGCATAAGAATATCAATACTGTCCGGCCTTTTCATTATATTTTCATATATATTTTTCCTTCATAAAATTATCTGGAACATTCTTTAATTCCAGTTTTGTGGAAGTATCAGTCTCTATCAGAATGTATTAATTAAATTGCTGTCTATGAAAGTAAGCAAAGATCATTGTCATGATAAACAAACTATTTTTATTTTGAGGCTATTCATTGAAACTAGCCCTTCTCACTAGATTTGCTTATTTATTGTATTGTTTTAACTCTGTGCCTCATATTCTGCATTCTTCACTGGCTACAATTTATCTGTGTCATTTTCTGTATCCTTATTATCTTTTTTAATCTCTTTATATCGGAGTACCCCAGAGCTTAGACCCAGATGTCCTTTTCTTTTCTTTCTCTGCTCTCATGCGCTACATGAAACTTTCAATTCCATGGCATCTAATTGCCGCTAAGTTCTGACAACTCTCGATTTTATCTGTACCCATAAATGTTCTCCAGAAATCTAGACATATATCCAAATGGCTATTAACTTCTCAACATGGATGTCTAGCAGACATCTCAAATTTAGTGCATCCTAAACTGAATTATCAATTCCCACACACTCTACATACCAAACTTGTTCCCACCACAATGTTCCTGTATTTCAGTGAATAGCACCACTATCTGCCTGTGTACTAAAGTCAAAACCCCTGAAAAGGATTCTTGAATTGTCTTTCTCTTCATATCCATATCCTATATGACAAGTTTTATGAGCTACATCTTCAAAATATCTCGTAGAACCAGTCACCTCTCACCATGCTGACCACTCTCACCGTGGCTGCATGGATTACTGTAGTAGCTTTCCCCTTGTACTACTCTTGCTTCCAGTTTTGATGATCCCCAGCACCATGTAATCTACTGTGGCACAGTGATAGCCAGAGAACCTTTAAATACAACAATAAGATCAAATTATCATCTGCTCTAAACCTTCAGATGGTTTTCTTTTGCAGTTCGCCCAAAGTCTCTCCTGTGTCATACACTGTCTGGCCTCTGCCTGTCTCTCTCTGATTCATGTTCAACTCCTGGGCCTTTGCTTCCTGTGCTTTATGCTAAAAATCTCTTACACAAAATTCTCTGATCCAGCCTTATTTATAATTTGCTACACTTGATAGTACCTAACTTTATATGTTGGTTCATTAAAAAAATTTTTTATTGTGTTGTCTTTATCTGTTCTTTTATTACTCAATGATCTAGTTCTAGCCTATATTTCTAATTAATTACAACTTCTCATCACATGAACTTCTGCCAAATTAAAATATTGCATGACAGTAGAACATCATGTATGCTTTTCTAGCTTCATACATTTTCTCTTTATGTTCAGTTTAACTTTCTTTTTGAGTTTTTGTAATGTGCTATCACCATTTAGTTTTATATTAAAAAGCTAATTATTTGATAAAGGCCTTTCCTAATACAATACCCCTCACATCCATCCAGATTCACTTGTGGAACTTGCTATATTATTATTATTTTTTTGAATGCTGTCAACATGTATTTTTTATTCCTGAAGTTGAGAATCCACACTGTTCATCTTTTTATCTTCTGTACCACCATTTCAAGTATAAGAGACAGTCATTACATGTTTAGTGAATAAAATTCTGCACTTTCTTGTCCCATGAAAGTGGTCTGCAAAAGCATTTTTTGGCTACAAGTCCTAATAATTTTACTTAATCATTCTAGTTTGCAAACTTCCACTGCTTTTTACATAGTTAAGCATATGTTTATTCTCAAATAACAAATCTCCTAAAATAGTGCATGTAGAATATTTTGACTTCAATTGTTATATTGTAGGATATCAAGCTACTTTGAAGCAATCTGACTTATGAGTAGAATTGAATTTTTGAATAAGAACAATTTTTAATAACATTTTTCAAGATTTTGCTGATGATGTTTTTGAGACTTTTTCCTCCTTTTATTCATTTCCTTCTAAGATACTTAAATTATGTTTTGGAGACAATGAAATGTCTAATAACGATTTATGAGAAAATTACTTCTTCTTGCAAGTCATATTGCTAGAAGTAATCTTTTTCTCCCTTCCAGCAGAACATTGGGCACCAGTGAGGTTTAACAAGTACACCTCTAGTTTTATGGCACTTACATGAAATATGAATTTTTGGCTTATGTTATAGTGTAGTAGTCCAAATTAAAAATATTCCAAAGACATTTTATGCCTGTAATGCAACAATATATTAATCTGTTTTGGTACTCTTTTAAAACTACTAGCTGTGAAGTT